>NC_000012.12:108217703-108369218 GCF_000001405.40 Homo sapiens | reverse complement strand
AGGGGTGGCGGGGGGAGAGAGAGAAAGAGAGATGGAGAGGTAAGAGAGAGCTGTTATCCATCACTGACATTCCTAGGTGGGTAAAGGATTGAAGAACATGTTGTTTGGGGGAAGCAGTGGAAGAAGAGAAAACAGGAGGGGCTGGAGACTTGGAGGGAGAGGGGGAGACTCTTGACGTGCACACTGGATTTTACAGTTTATATAGGACACTCATATTCATTGGTTTACCTGTTCACTTCCCTGTTCAAGAAGTTGACAAACAGGCTCTGGCAATAGCAACTAATACTTTTTTTAAACCTTCACTTTTACTGAAATCCCTGAGTGAACCCCACTTCTCCCTTCTTGTCTCAGGCCATTTGCCTGATGCCTCTTTCTTCCTATGTGCCCCTTATGTCTGGGAGCCTTCTCCAATGCACTATATATGCAACCACTAACTCACTCATTTGTCCAGCCGGACAGTTAAAGGACAGCCAATGAACTAACTAAACATCTAGCTAACCAGCTAGCCAGCCAGTCAATGGACTGACCATCTAACTAGAAAACTAACCATTCAACCAACTGAATAACCAACTAACCAACCAACCAGCCAAATAATCAATGAACAAATGGACCAGCCAATTAACTACTCAACCATTCACTGAGCAACTAATACATTATCCAACCTACCCACAAACTAACTAACCAACAAATCAACCAAAGTGTGCTGGTGTTAGGCAAATACTCACAATCAGACTCTGACTTGGCCCAGGTAAAGGGCTGCCTCTCTCCTGCTCAGGTTTTCAGCACCCCCACCTGGGAAGGGGCATCACCTTTGCATCGCCTCCTTGCCAGACATTTTCCCTTCTGGGCCTGTTTCTCCATCTGACTAGAGTAGTGGTTTGCAAACTGGGTTCCCTGGGGCCCCAGAGTTCTGTGGAAGGTCCCTGGGGCTGCTTTGGAAGGAAAGAGGAAGTCAGGTAGGATGGGACTGGGATTCTCATTTCTAATTTCTCCCTTTCATCTGTTTTGCTTGTTGGGATTTTGAGTAAGATTTTGTTTAAAGAAAGGCCTTGATGTCTTAAGTTTAAAAACCATCGCATTGGATCACCTTCTCAGCTCTAGAGGTTGATGGTTATGTTCTTGTGGGTATGGGGGAAATGTGCAGGAGACTCTAGGCCCTGGACCTGGGTCGAGTTTCCAGTTGGCAGAATGCAGTGATGGCACAGAGGCAAGCATCCACATATCTCCCTCGGATGTAGGACCACTGAGTTCTGAGGCAGAACTGTTCGATGCCTGATGTGCTAAGATGCTCCCAGAGAGGCCTGCATGTTGGTAAGGGGCTGAGCATAAGTAGCCCTGAGTGCATTTCCTTACCCATTTCCAAGTAGAGCTTGCTTCCCATGATCCAAGCTTGGTTGGAACTTTCAAACAGCTCCTGGCAGGGCATGGGATGTCCTTGCACACGGCATCCATTGGAACCGACTCCAAAGGATCTTCCGGCCATGGCCGGAGCTGCCCATCTGCCAGTTTCTCAGAGTTGCCATGTGGGAGGAAACACAGAGCTGGGGGTATGCGTAGGAAGACTGTGTGAGTCACATCAATCTGTTGCAACCCAAACCTCAGAGGCCCTGGGTGGGGTGCATAGCTTGGGACTTCCTTGTGGGCTCCAGTCCCCAATAGTGAAAAAGCGGCCAAATAAGACATAGGGTTCCCACCACTTCTGTTTGCAGGAGACAAGGCACAGCACTGGGCTCATGCCTTGCCTTTGCTGAAAGACCTTGGACAAGTTGCTTCACGTTCCTGAGCGTCTGTTTCCTATTATATTTGTGTAAAATAGGGCTAGTCGGTTCTTATCACCGAACCGTGCAAGGCCAAGGGAAGGACGCATCTCTGTTTAGTGGAGTCCCCGCTTTGTAGATGGAGAAATTGGCCAAACAAAATATTTAGAAAAGTTAGGATTGTCATTGAGGTTTCTGAGTTGACATCTCTTTCCTTAACCCTTTATAGGTTTTTATTTTTTATTTATTTATTTTTTAGAGACAGGGTCTCACTTTGTGGCCCAGGCTGGACTGCAGTGGTGAAATCATAGCTCACTGCAGCCTCAAACTCCTGGGCTCAAGTGATCCTCCTGCCTTAGCCTCTGGAGAATCTAGGACTACATGCACCAGCAACCAGGCCCAGGTAATTAATTCTTTTTTTTTTTTTTTTTTTTGTAGAGACAGGGGTCTTGTTATGTTGTCCAGGCTGCACTCGAAGTCCTGAGCTCA
This sequence comes from Homo sapiens, assembly GCF_000001405.40. Taxonomy (NCBI): domain Eukaryota; kingdom Metazoa; phylum Chordata; class Mammalia; order Primates; family Hominidae; genus Homo; species Homo sapiens. The sequence goes on along the minus strand of NC_000012.12, from coordinate 108,366,972 downwards.
AGTGATCCTCCAGCCTTAGCCTCCCAAAGTGCTGGGATCCATGCCCAGCCCCTCTACAGGTTTTCAAGATCTTTTGAGACATCATTAAACGATGTCTGGGACATCTTTCCCTCTCCCTCTGGGAAATATTTTCCTTTCAGGCAAGGCACAGCCATGCCTGACTAGGAGAGCTCTTTTGGGTTTGAATCTGTGCAAATACCCAGGGATGACTCTGGGGACCTCTTGCTCTCCTTACCAAGCCCCCTGCCTTCTCAGCTTTTCTCACCTCTTGCTTTCTTTACCAAGCTCCCTACCTCCCCACCCAAGTACGGCATGGGTTTAGGTATCTCCCAGGGTACATTAAACATCTCTAGCCAGCCTGCCTGATGATCCAAGTGGGTATCATTTATTCAGAAGCATCACTGAGAGTTTTTGATTTATTGGTGATAGGTCAGCTATGTTCTTCAGGCAGCTGATGGTCATGCCATTAATTTTCAGAGATTAAGAGCATGATGGGGAAGATAAATTTAGTGACTTGGGGAGATCTGCAGAGAGCAGCTCCTGGGAGGGTCTCCACACACCTTCACGCTCAAGTCGGTGAGAAGCAATTCCCTTTCTGCTGCTTTTCGTGAAGGTGATGATGTGAGCATCCTGTGTGGAGGAGACTTGTTTTCAGAATTACAAGACGTCCGTTCCTGAACTCAGAAGGTATTCTCATGCTAGAATCAGAATCTTGGAATTGAAGAGTCACAGGCTGTTAGAGTAAGATGAGTTCTCTGAAACCATGCAGTCCAGCCTCTTGTTTTACCAATGAAGAAACTGAGGCCCGGAGTGGGAAATGACCTAATCATGGGGAATTCAACCAGAGGCTGCATCCTAGCTCTCCCTCCATTGCTCCTTTTTCCTAGAGTTGGGGATTAGTTGCACAGTGTAAGAAAAAGACTTTTGGCAGGGCGTGGTGGCTCATGCTTATAATCCCAGCACTTTGGGAGGCAAAGGCGGGCAGATCACGAGGTCAGGAGATCAAGACCATCCTGGCCAGCATGGTGAAATCCAGTCTCTACTAAAAATACAAAAATTAGCTGGGCGTGTTGGTGCGTGTCTGTAGTCCCAGCTACTCAAGAGGCTGAGGCAGGAGAATCGCTTGAACCTGGAAGGCGGAGGTTGCAGTGAGCTGAGATCGTGCCACTCCCTGCACTCCAGCCTGGCGCCTGAGCGAGACTCCATCTCAAATAATAAAAAAAAAGACTGTTGAGGGGACCTTATGTCTTTATGAGCACCCCCACTTTACAGAACAAAACCCCTGAGGTTTGGAAAGGGCACTTGACCTCCTGGCTGTAAATTTCACAAGGTGCATTTGGTTTTGTGCTGCCTCTCTGCCACCCATCTCAGTGCTTACAGCATCACAGATGCCATAAATATTTTCTGAATGGATGAATGTTTATCAGCAGATCAGAAACTAGAATTGTGTGATGTAAAGGCTTCCTTTGTGGCTCAATGGCCAATTTCAGGAGTGGCAGCCTCACTGCTGCACAGCTCAGCCCTGTTTTGTGTATTTCTCACATGGTAATGAAGAGTGGATGGGGGATCAGGATTCCCACAGGTGGAAGCTCAGCATCTCAGGCAGTGGGAATTTTCCTATAAGGGCTTTAAAAGCCCCAAGAAAAGGAAGAAAGTTTAAACCAGCACCCCCAATGCTTAGCTTTGGCCAGACAACCACCTCCTCCCCATTCAGGTGAACTCTGCAGTGAGAGAAGTTACTCTGAAGGCTCTATTGCTAAGAGAGGTTCATAGGGATGCATCTGAAATAGGCCCAGAAGATTTAGTTGTAGCCCAGGAGGGAGCCATGAGCCCATGAGCTGGAGGAAAGTAGGGAGATATATAAGAAGCAAGAGGCTGCAGAGACAGGGGAGGAAGTGGAAGGGAGGACCAGGCTCCTTGTTTGCAGATGGTGCTTGGGGGACTTAGCACTTGCTAAACACAGTGATGAGGACATTACTTGGACAAAGGCCCTGCCTTAGCAGAAACCATGGCCCAAAACAAGAACACAAAATCGGTGGGAACGACAGCACCTGATTCCAACAGATTCAATTCACGGAGACTTTGCTTCAATGTAACAGACATTCCCTGAGCACCTCTATGGGCTAAGCTCCGTGCAAGGCACTGTGGGAGTTAAGAGAGGTAGGACTGTGTACAGTTAAGAGATTGCATTCTAGAGCCAGACTGTCCAGGTCTGAATCCCGGTTCCTCACATACTAGCTGTGTGATCTTGGGTAAGTCACTTAACTGAGTCTGTTTCCTCATCTGTAAAGTGGGTACCAGCAGTGCCTATCTTATAGGGTTGTTGTGAGAATTAAATAGGTTAATACAAATAAAGCCCTTGGCACAGTGTCAGCACATAGTATGTGCTCAGTAAGTATTGTTGCTATGAAAATGTAACTGCAGCAAATATCCCTGGCCTTATACAAATGGGGCTGCAAGAACAGAAGTGTCCAAATGACATGGCTTTCAGTCCTTACTTGTGAGACCTCACTTTTTCCTCAGTATCTCCCCCAGTGATTTCAGTGGGTCTCCAGGGGCACCTCCTCGTGTTCCAGAAGTTGTCCATTCAGGTTCTGCATCGAGCTCGCAGAGGAAGTCCCTGGGCCACAGGCCACGTGAGGGAGGCCTCTCCAGAAGGACCCAGTTGCCAGGGTCTTCTCGAAGGACACTGCTTCCCTCCTGGGCCCTGGGTAATTCTACTCCTGTCCGCTTTCCATAGCCCATATTAGAATGGGGTGGAGGGACTTCCTTTTCATTCAGGCTTGCCTCGGTCAGCTGGGCCCCAGAGAAGAACTGCTTGAACCCAGAGTGCCCCCAGATTTTTCATGAAAGTGATTCCTTGAGCTTCTGATTCCATCTGTTCTGTCTAGGGGATCTCTGCCATGAACTTCGTTTTCCTGGCGGTACCTTCTGAGCATCTCTCCAGGATTGTGTTGTCTCTCTCTTTAATATACACACACACACACACCACACCACATACACATCACACACACACATCACACACACACACCACACACACCCCACACACCCCCACATCACACACACACCACACACACTCTCACCACACACACACCACACACACTCACACCACACACACATCACACACACACCACACACACACACCACACACACATCTCACACTGTGTACTCACACACACACCACCCATGTACACACACACACCACACCCCCCACACATCACAAACACACACCACACATATGCTCACACACACATCACACACACGGCACACACAGCACATACATGCACACACACACTCATACCACACACACCACACACATACACCACACAAACCACACACACCACACCACACACATGCACCACACACCTGTACATATGAACACAACACCCACACCCCCCCCACACATCACTCTCCAACACCACATACAAACATACCACACACGACACACACACCATACCACACACATGCACATGCACACACGCCACAGACACACCACACACACGTACACACACACCAAACCCCCCACACATCATACACACCACACATATCACACACACACGTCACACCACACCCACCACACCACACATATGCACACATGCACACCACACACACCACGCATACACACCACACACATGCCACACACACACGCCACACACACTACACACACCCACACACACGCCCCCATACACCACACACGTCACATACACACCACACACGCCACACACGCCACACATGCACACACACACCCCACACATGCCACACACACACACGCCCCCCCACACTCCACACACACACCATGCACACACACACTCTCCCAGCTCCTCCTCTGGAACAAGCTTGACCACGTCAGGTCTTCTCTTCCATGGTTTTTCCAAATCAGTTTGAGCCACGTTTTACTTTTGTGGCTCTTGTCAGAGAGGCCAGGCCCCATGAACTGCAGGGAGTGGGCCGTTCTGCCCATGTTGGGGGTGGCTACATGGTGCCACAGCCATCCGTGGCCCATCCTTGAAGGGTATGGATTTTGCTGGATGTCTGGGGTCTGGGGAAGTCAAGCAATTCGCTCGTGTGGCAGGATGTGATTTTCTGTCACTTTCACCATCTCACTCTTCCTCTTCCCCACCCCTTATGAGAAAGAAGGCTCTTTTACTAGAATATCATGTTAAAGTGATGCTTTGGGAGGTGGTTTTATTCATCAAACACTTATGTAATCCTTATTAGGCACCAGGTCTAAGGCCTTTAGATGTGTGATATCCCTTAACCCCCATGACAGCCCTATGAGCCTTATGACTCCCATTTTACAGATGTGGAAACAAAGGCCAAGATCATACAGCTAGTAAGTGACGGAGCCTGGATGAAACTCAGGCTGTCTGGTTCCACAGGAGTTGTGTTCTTACCCACCTCGCTCTGCTGCCTTTCCAGTGAGCTTGATCTTCCTAAGAGGAAAACTTGCTTGTCTTCTAGACCAGCCTTGCAGTTGGTCTTGGGCAAGAGAGGCTTCCCTGGGCAATGGAAGACAGAGGCCTGCTCTGATACTCCTCTGGCCTTGCCCTTCCCCAGGAAAGTGGTTATCCAGAGCTCACTTCCTCCTCCTTCTAGTGCATGTCCTGAGTACCTGGGAGCTGAGGATTCCCTGCCCAAGGGGCTTGCAGGGCTTCTTCCCTGGATCTTTTCTCCCAAGAGCAGTGCACTCAGGCCAAAGATGGCTAAAGAGTGACAGATTTTGGATCTGAGCACTGGGCTGTGTGTGTTCATCTGTGGGTGCAAGGCCCTTCTTAGTGTGCGATGAAGCTGGGGTGGGAAATTAAGAGGGGTGGGAAATAGATGGATGACCAGCTTTCTCTCTGCTGTCTTCCAGCGTGGAGCACTGAGAAATCTGAGTTCCTCATTAGATCCTAGGCTTCCAAGTTGTTGGGAAAGGTCTGTTTGTCAAAGTAGGAGGATAGAACATTTTCTGTTTAACGTTAGCAAGCTTGATTGATAATTTTAAGCATTTAGACATATGCTATGTGGACCCCCATTTATCCTCTTGCCCCCGGCCCCACAAATGTCAGGGTGGACTTGTGAAGTGGATGTGGGACTGAAAACCTATTGTCCCAGCAGCTGGGGATGCTGCAACTATCAGCCTCTGCAGGAGTCCCCTCTGATGTAGAAATCACTCTTGCTTAACTTTCTCAAAGCCATGTCCCTTCGGGAAACAGCCCACATTGATTACAGTGCAGGAGTAGTAAGGTCTGGTATCTTGTCCCACCTCTTCCTGGCTCTGTAGGATCATCTCAGCTCCAGCATTCTCTGTGGGGTTAACAGAAGCCTCCACTGAGGCTATGTCCCAGCCAGATTTCTCCCTCTGCCGATGCAGCATCCTTTCTGTCCCCATGCAGGTGTTGATTCCTTTGTGATGTGTCTTTGCAATGCCTTCACTAGGGGGTAAGTCTACTCCACCCCACTGGTGTTGGGCCTGGGGGCTATGAGGAACTCTATAGAGAATATATGCGGTAACAGACTGTAGCCTTGCCTGTTGGCTCCCCCGTTCTAGGGAAGAAACCTTGGCCAGGCAAAGATAGGACAATGATGCCAAATAAGTCATTCACTTTAGTGACATTACTGGGTCAAGACAGGGGGTCAGTTTTATGAGAAGCATTAAGCTGGGAGGAAGGGTTTGAAAAGTATTGGAAGATATAATGGAACACTGTGATTATTCACTTTCTTCTACACATCTATGGGGTGTGGCCTTGTGACTTGCTTGGCCAATGGAATGTGGGCAGAAGTGACGATGTGCCAGTTCCTCACCTGGGCTTTAAAAGTCTTCATGGGCTTATTCTCACCCCTCTTGAATTTCTGCCATCACCTTGAAAAGCACATGCCCTGGCTACCCAACTTGTCCAGGGAGAGTGAGTGGCACCTGGAGCAGATTGGGATCCAATCAATGGCTAATAGCCAAGCTTGGCCAAGCCCATCCAGGTTAGCTGATCACCCCCCAGCTCACAAATATGTGAGTGAGAATGAAGTATTATGGTTTTAAGCCACAGAATCTTAGGTGCTTTGCTAGACAGCATCAGTGGCAAAATCTGGACACAAAAGTACCTGTGCTTGTTTTGGGGAAAAATGATGGGTTTCCACTCTGTAATTCCTGAGTCAAATAGACATTGAAGAAAGAGGTTCCACAAGGATGTTTTCATTAGCAAGCCACTGGGGAATTCCAGGGAAGTGAGCTCCAGGCTGAGAAGCATAAAACTGGGAGGAAGAGCTTGAAAGGTATTAGAAAGCATAATGAGCCACTGTGATGATTCATTTCTCCTATGCATGTGGGTCAAGCCCAGTTGCTGGTTGGATGCCCTGATCTCAGCAGATGCTTCCACCAAAACCTCAGGGGCTTCCCACAGTCCCCAGGGAGGTGGTCTTGAAGTCTTAATGTGGTGTTGTATGTGTGGATGTTGGTGAGAAAGATGAATGCCCTGAATGCTTCAAATACAGGGACAGCTGCTGGCCTGGGGACCATGAGGAGCCCCACCATAAAGAATGTTCTGGGGTAACAGACTGCAGCCTCTTCTGCTGGCTCCTTTGATTTAGGGAAGAATCCTTAGCTGTGCAAAGGTGGGAAAATGACCCCCAAGTTAGTCACCCATTTTAGTGACATTACTGGTCCAAGACAGGGGATCAGTAATTGGCTTTCTGCTACTCACTAGCCATGTGATCTTGGGAGCAAGTCTGGCCTCAGTGTCCTCATCTGATCAATGGGCACAACAATGCCTCATACATTTATCTTGATGATGAATGAAAATAATTCAAGCTCAAATCTACCTCAGGGTGTTTGCCTTGGCAATTTCCTCTGGCTGGTACAGTCCATCTTGAGATTTTGATGGCTGATAATTGGATCCTTCAGATTCAGGGAGCCCACCCTGCCTGCTCACACAGCTGCTTCCTGACTGCCATCATCACACCCCCCATTTTTTTTTTTTGAGGTGGAGTCTTGCTTGTTGCCCAGGCTGGAGTGCAGTGGCGTGATCATGGCTCACTGCAGCTTCCACCTCTGGGGCTCAAGCAATCCTCCCACCTCAGCCTCCTGAGTAGCTGAGACTACAGGTGTGCACCACCACGCCTGGCTAATTTTTGTATTTTTAGTAAAGTTGGGGCTTCACCATGTTGGCCAGGCTGGCCTCGAACTCCTGACCTCAAGTGATCCTTCTGTCTCAGCCTCCCAAAGTGCTGGGATTACAGGCGTGAGCCACCGTACCTGGCCGACGACCCCCTGTTTTATGCACCTTTGAGTACTTACCACTATCTGAAATGATCTTGTGGACTTCTATGTTCCTTGCTCCCAGGGATGACCTGTTGACAGCACATATAGCAAAGGGCCTGAAAAATAGTAGCTGCTCAGTTAGTCTTGTTTGAATGAATAAGCAACTGGAGAGGTGGATGCAGTGTCTGCTGCCAGTAGGCATGATGTGAATATACAAATATACATTCTCTTTCATTCTTTCATCTGAGGACTCCCAGAGAATCTGATGGGTTTGGGCTTAAATTAATTGGAAATAACTTTTCATTTTCCAGGTAATTCCTCCAGTCTCTACTTCAGAGGTTACACATTGGCGGCGTGCACTCCATATGTGGTTCTCCAATATATTCTGATGGATGGCATGGTGTTTCCAAACCATTTGAGACAACTTCTATAAATCAGGATATTTCATATTTAAAAGAATCTTACTTTCAGATATTTTCAGATAAAAAAAGGGAGATCCAGCAAAGCCAGGCCTGAATTTCTGCTTGGCAAGGAGGGGCTGGCACTGAGTAGCCACCCTCTGGGGTCAGGTGGACCAATCCCTGACTGGTCCACCATTGCTCCCATCGCTCCTTCAACGAACCCCTGTCCAGTCCACTGGTTCCCATGACCTGCCTGGTCTCTGCACGTGTTTGTGTCCCCTGATCTATTCTTTTCTGGTTCTGCCGAATGGGTCACAGCTGACTTTACTGTTCCCTCCTGCTGTTCGGCTACTCCCGCAAGAATTCATGGCCCCGAGCTCAGCTCCAGAACCCTCTTGCTTTCAACTCCCACCCCATCGCTTGCTCTTGGTATACGGATTTTAAAACATGCACAATTGATTTGCCAAGAATGGGATGATTAATTAGAAACGAAGACTCATTGTGGGAGAGCCTCGGAGGCGGTTTTGATCTCTATGCTTCTTGAATTTCCTTGCCTTTGTTCTGGCCCCAGATAGGGGACTCATTAGGCAGCGGGGGCTGCTGGGCACAGAGAGTTTGCTATTTTTGAAAACCTCTGACTCAGCACCCCCCTCCCCAGCCCTTCTCTTTCTTCTTGAGCTATGCCCCTTGCTCTGAATCTGAAGGTGTGTGCTGGGAGCTGACATGGGGATACAAGCCCACACCTGGCAGGCTGCGAGGGTGCATTTCCTTCTTTTCCTAAATTTAAGAAAAAATCATCTCCAGACAATGCTCAGCCTTGTCAGAGTAGTGGAGACATGGTGGGGAAAAGTAGCCTGGATCTGAGAGATTTCCTTTAGAATCTTGCCACCCAGGTGTGGTTCTCAGTCCAGCAGCATCTCAGGTATCCAGGGGAAGCTTGCTAGGAATGCAGACTCTTGGACTCCAACCCAGACCTACTGACACAGAATCTGCACTGAGCTCCCCAGGCAATTGGTGTGACCAGAGAAATTTTCATCTTTATCTTGGTTCTAGTGCATACTTTGAAAGTGGGTGCCATCTTCCACACTATTGTTAAACCACAGTGGGATCTGATTCTCACGAATCTCCACTTCACCCCCAGCCCAGTGCCTGGCACATAATAAGTGCTCAGTGTGTCTTTGTAGATTTGCATCCACCATATCCACCATAGAGGTCAGGTTCCTTATGTGGTTCTCAGCCTTGGCTGCACATTGGATTCCCTGGGGAGCTTTATACATTACTGACCCCTGGGCTCCACCCCAAGAGATTCTAACTAACTTGGTTTGGGTGTGACTTGGGCTTGGAGATTTTGAAAGCTCCCTAGGGAGTCAAAAGTGCAGCCAGGGTCAAGAACAACTGTTTTTGTATATTTTTAAAATGTTGGTGCATCTGATGAAAGTTCTGAGTGGTCACAATCCTTCTTTAAAATCCCATGGGGGTGAGGGTGATGCGGAAACCCACTCAACATCCCTACATTTTTCCTCAGTGTTGGGATCAGATAGCTGTTTTCTTACTGAAGAACGGATGCCATTACTGGATTGTATTTAGGGGTCAAGACATATGAAATGCATATCTTGGAATCCAAGAGTCACACTCCCAGGGCGAGATGCTCACCTTGTGGGCTGCTCGTGGGATGCGAGGCCACACCCACACACGGAAGCACCTGCCCTTTCGCATCCTTCTCCTCTCCCACTTTCCCTCGTTCATTCCTACTCTTTCTTCAGATCTCAACCTGATGCTCACTTCCTCCAGGAAGCCTCCCCTGACCACCCACCTCTGGGTAGGCAGGTTCCTTTGTTAAATGTATTCAAAGAATGGGGCTCTTTTCAGAGCCTAGTTGGCAGTTAGACACTCAGGCATGGAAGGCTGGGGTTGAAGTTGGGGACCCCACCCTGGACTGGAAACTTGCTAGGAGCAGTTGTCAGGCCTTTGTAGCCCTTCATGGTATTCCAATGTATCTAGCAGGGACCTAGTAAAAATTGCAATGAATGACTGAATGAGTGAATGAATGAATGAATCATCGAGGTTGTTGAGGGTGTTGGGGGAAGGGTTATTCCTTTCCACACAACCTCTATGTAGATGTGGTTTATCCAATTACCATGAGCTACTCAGCCAGCCCTGCAGCATGCAGTGAGGCATAGCTGTATTTCTGAGGCCTATAATTTTCCAGTAATTAGACTTTCAGGCACATATGTCTTGTGGCTCGAATATGATTCTGTTATACCTCTGTTGCTAAAGTAACTGCTACGTAAGCCTTCAAAAATTTGCTTTAATAATGATGGGCTATAGTGGATCTGTGCTATTTAGGTAACTTGCAATCTACCTTCAGGACAATATAATTACATGGCTGGGTTATTTTTAATTTCATGGGACAGCATTCCTCAAGCTTCAGCCATCCCAGTGCCACCGTTTTTATTTTTGCCCTGCTTGTATACCATTTCTATGGTGTCGTGAATTTAATATTGTCCTTTAAATCTACTCATTAAAAATGTCAGTGAATGTACTCATTAAAAATATCAGTAAATGTAGCTCAAAAGGGAAATTTACATGACCACAGTAAATAGAAAACCAATATCAATTTCCTCAAATAGAAAGTGACCATAAAATACCACCCCTACATAAACAATCAAAATAAAACACGGTTATTAATGTTTGGTTGATACTGTTGCCTGCCCAAGGCTTTGAGCTTGAGGCCTGCTCTTTCTTTGTTATAAAGGGAGATTGGCAAATGTTGAAGAAGGTGTTAAAGACCTGGTAGCACCAAATTGAGACTTTCCCTGGTATAATTAGAAGGACAGAAAAAGAATCGAAAAAGCAACTTTCTCATGTTGTGATTCAATATTTATTTAGTGTCTTGTCTATGTTATAGGCTATTGTTTTATAATACAAATTGATTTGTCTGAGCTCATAGCTTGCTCTTATAAAATCAATAGCAAGTTTTATGTTTTGGCGTCAAGTTTATTGCAATTTATTTTGCTTTTCTCCAGTTATTTTTTATAACCAGATCAAAAGGGTGGAGATCAGACGGAGACTTCAAGACCCACCTCATTTTGAAGTCCTTTGTTCAGCCTGGCCTGTGAAGTTAAGAACCACTGACAAATCACAGGTGCCTTTGAAGTGTAACTGATCAGGGTCAGAACCCTGGCCTTACCACGTTCGCTCCCTGATCTGGCACAAAGCACTTCACTTCTTTAAGGCTACATTTTCTATGCTGTAAAATGTGAATGGTAGTATCAGCCACATGGGGTTGATGTAAGGCCTATAAGAAGTTGTTGCATGTGAATCCCCCTCTCACAAGGCAGGTGGTCCTTAATTGGTGGTCATTGTGGATCCTGTGAGCTCTGAGTGAGCAGGGCAGTGTCTGTCTTATTCACTGAATAGCACTAGGGCCTGGCACTTAGTCCACGCTCAATACATATCATCACATTTGAGGAAGTTTGGGGGTACAAAGGGTGGGGAATAGTGTCTGCTCATGCTGCCTTCTTAAGAATGTCTTCTCCAATTAGGTGGGTGGAAAAGAGGCATGTGTCAATTTAGAGACTGCCTTTTGGGGCAGAATGGTTCTTGAGATTCCTGGGGAACAAGGGCTGTGCTGGGCAGTCAATATGAGGGGATCCCTACTCTTTTTTACATGAATGGTGGAAACGAGGACAGCAGATGTAAATCCACAGAATTGTAAACCATCAGAAGGACCCAATTCCCTTGTTTAATAGAGGGGAAATCTGAAGCATGGAGAGAGGAAGTGACTTGACTATGGTCATCAGCTGGTTGGAAGCAAATCAGAGGCTTGAACCCATGTCTTTTAATGTCCAGTCCAGAGCTCTGTCCCCCATGTCATGCCCAGCCCTTATGTGCCTCCTCTAGCTGTTGTCATATAATGACCATTTGCTTTTTCTTTCTTCAGAATATTGCAAAGGCTCTGGCTTTATCTCCTCTCTGGGAATAAATCCACTTTCTCTACCAGCACCTGCAGAAAGCAGGGAATGCTGGAAGCTTCCTTGTGTGCACACACGTCCCGCATAGGGCTCAGTTTTGATGCCTGGGGCATGAGGTCAGGGTGTGTGCATCACAGTGAGGGCTGTGCCAAGTGGTCTCCAGAAGGACATTGCCTGATGTTTCCCTCTGGGACCTCAACTGTTGAACTAAACAATGTTTATTCTTTAATATTATGAAACATGCATTAAGACCATGGGAAAGGAAAAAAGTATCAAGAAGAAGAAGAAAAAACCAACTGTAGTCCCACTACCCAGATAGAGATAACCACTGCTAATATCTTGGCACATTTCCTTCCAGTCATTTTTCTCTGCATACACACACACACACACACACACACACACACACACACACACACACACACACAGACACACACACACACACACACATGAGCTTTATACATGCTTTATTTTTTCTTCTTAGAGCACAAATTTTATTCATGAATTTGGAGAAAAAAATATTTTTTATATTAAAATTAACATGGCCACATTTTGAAATAGAAGGCAGAATGTGCCCGAATTTTGTAAAAGAAATTATGAGGCTTCATTGAAAAATGCATTAGTGTCTTGGGCTTCACCAGAGACCTGCAGAGCTATGCATTCATTCATTTGGTGGGTAGGTAGGATAAGTATTTCTCTCTCTCTTTCTCTCTCTAACTGATACAGTTTGGATGTTTGTCCCGTCCAAATCTCATGTTGAAGTGTGACTTCCAGTGTTGGAGGTGAGACCTAGAGGGAGGTGTTTGGGTCATGGAAGCAGATCCCTCATGAATAGCTTGATGCTGTCCTTGGGGTAAAGAGTGAATTCTCACTATTAGTTCATGCGAGAGCTGGTTGTTTAAAAGAGTGTGGCATCTCTCCCTTCTCTCTCACTTCTTCTCTTGCTGTGTGACATACTAGCTCCCCTTCCTTTCTGCCATGACCAAAAGCTTCCTGAGGCCTTACCAGAAGCTGGGCAGATGCTGTAACTTGCTTCCTGTACAGCCTGCAGAACCACGAGCCAAATAAACCTCTTTTCTTTATATATTACCCAGCCTCAGGTATTCCTTTATAGCAACACAAAATGGACTAACACAATCACCAGGCACCATGTACTTAATATGTACGATGTAAATATACAATGTAATATTATATATTTAACATATATAGTTATATTTTTAACATACATATACTTCTATATAACATATTAAATTATATAACATATTAAATGATAATACATAATAGTTTTATTTATATACAATTCACATGGTATACAATTCATCCATTTAAAGTGTACATTTCAATGGTTTTTAGTATGTTCACACAGTTGTGCAACCACTACCACAATCAACTTTAGAACATTTCTTTTCCTCAAAAAACCCCCAAATGAAACCCTGTGTGTGACTGGGCACGGTGGCTCACACCTGTAATCCCAGCACTTTGAGAGACCAAGGTGGGTGGATCACTTGAGGTCAGGAGTTTGAGATCAGCCTGGCCCACATGGTAAAACTCTAGCTCTACTAAAAATCCATAAAAAATTAACTGGGCATGTTGGTGCATGCCTGTAATCCCAGCTACTCAGGAGGCTGAGACAGGAGAATCACTTGAATCCAGGAGGCAGAGGTTGCCGTGAGCCAAGACAGCACCACTGCACTCCAGCCTGGGTGACAGAGCAAGACCCTGTCTCTAAAGAAGAAGAAGAAAAAAACCTGTATGCATTGCAGCCACTCCCCATTTCTCTCCAATCTCCCTCCCACAGTCCAAGGCAACCACTGATCTACTTTCTGTCTCTATAAACTTGCCTGTTCCTGACATTTCATAGAAATGGAATCATTAAACGTGTGGCCTTTTGTGTCTGGCTTCCTTCATTTAATGTAATATTTTCAAGGTTCATCCGTGTTGTAGCAAGGATCAGTACTTCAGTCCTATTATGTTGGAATAAATTCCATTGTGTGCATATAGCACATTTTGTTTATCCTTTCATTAGTTGATAGACATTTGGGTTGTTTCTACTTTTTGGCTATTATGAATGATGCTGCTATGAACATTGGTGTACAAGGTTTTGTGTGGATATATAGTTTAATTTTCCCCAGGAATGGAATTGCTGGGTCATAAGGTAACTCTTTGGTTTTTCTAAGGAACTACCATACTGTTTTTCAAGGTGGCTGCACAATTTTGCATTCCCTCTAGTAGAGTATGAGGGTTCTGATTTCATCACATTCTCCCCAAACTTTATAAAGTTCCTTGGGGAGCCTGCTTCAACAAACAGGGCACTAAATGGCAATTCTGCAAACGCTTACTGACAAGTAGGCACCCTTCAGCATCAGTCACCACTCATTCTTGTTTGCACCATTAGTTTATCTCTTTTTTTCCCTAGTGACAAAAGATATTCTGACAAGAGTTCATTCAAGTTGCCTAAAATTCTGGATTAGTGAGGTTTGACCATCCAGGAAATCTCCTATCAGGCAGTTTGCTGCTTTCAGCTGTCATCAGTTGATTGATTCATTGATTCAGCAAACATTCTGTGAGCACCTGTCATGTGCCAGCCACAGTGCCAGGAACTAGGTACATGAATATGAATCAGACTTGTGGTTTTATGCTTATAACCACTAGAGGTTCTGGGATCCTTTTGAGAATCTGATGAAAATTTTGGACCTCCTCCCCAGAAAAGCTCATGCCCACACAGACATATGTGCATAATTTTATGTGTTTATGGCCTCCTTGAAGATGATCAATAGATTTATTAGGGAGTCTTCTTGAAGGTCATACGAAGATTTCCAGGTTCAGAATCATTGTTGTATTCCAATAAATGAACAAAAAATATGGTGTCTTATTTGTGTCATTATTATTATAAAACACCTTGAAGTTTGATTCCTAATCAAAGATTTTCTTCCTCCTACTGCAGGATTTGTGGGCTTTGGTATTTGAACATGGGTGCCTAGGCTGTATGCATGGGATATTTGGGGTGCTGCAGCTTCAGCAGGCAGCTCTACAGGCATGCTCCCTGCCCTCATGAAGCCTGCAATCTGGGGATGGACTCCTGTTCACACCTGACCTAGGCTCTCTCAGAAATAGTTGATGGATCTCCTGAGATCATCTGAGCTCTGGCTCTCATCCACGGTGTGCCAGGGCTGGGCACAGTGGCTCATGCCTGTCATCCCAGTGCTTTGGGAGGCTGAAGTGGAAGGATCGCTTAAGACCAGGAGTTTGGGACCAACCTGGGCAACATGGCCAGACTCCGTGTCTAAAAAAATGAATCTGATTTTTTAAAAAAGTAAAATAAATAAATAAATACAAAGAAAGAAAGAAAAGACAAAAACAGCGGGCCAGGAAGAATCAAGGATGAAATGAGCAGGAGAGAGGCATGCAGGCAGTGGGGCCCTTGTGGTGTCAGCATGCCTGGATCACACCAGCCTTGGGAACCTCCAATGAAGACGGGTGTTGCAGGTGACTGAGTCCAGCCTGGTCTTTTAGATGACATCAGGGCCCAATTAAGGGTTTAGGAACAAATACACCTAGACTGGTGGAAACCAAGGGGGGACATCTGTGGGTGTGCAACAAAGCCAACGAGTGTAGCCACAAACATCTTCAACATCTGGAAGGTCTGTGGTGACACTTTGTGGTGTTTTCTACATCACACAACCAAAATCCTATTAAACCAAGGAGAAAGAGGAGATTCTCTCACCTGCGTCCTGAAGGAATGCATCTGAGCAGATATAGGAATCTTTCTGGGGTGAGTGATTTCTGGGGCGAGTGACATCTTTTTGGCGTGTGTGATTCACAGGTTTCTTTTGCTGAATGCTAGGTAACTTCTTGGGGCTCCCATTTCCTTTCTCTCTCCTCAACATCACACAAAAGGAATGTGGAAATGTATGGACCAGGAGGCAGCCAGCTGCTGCAGAGCAGGCACTAAAGGAGCACAAAACAAAACCTTATTTATGAACCCTGGGTGTCTTGGAGTGGGACTGTCCGAGAACAGGTAAGCCTGGGAAAATGGAGGAGGTGTCGATTTCAGCATGGGCCAGCTCCTCAGATGCTTATGTTCCTGTGATTATGGGCTTCTCATCGGTCACAGCCTCCTTTGAAAAGCTCTGGACTCTTTCCCCATACACTATGGTGAACAATTTGAGGAGGGGTTTGAATCATTGCAGGACAATCATGGGTCACTGGTAGTCCCTAGAAAGCAAACCTTACCTTGTGTAGTCCACTGAGGGAACTGAAATGTAGTATGTACTGCAATTATTGCTATTAAAGAAGCTTACAATAATCAAAATCAAGTGTTGGCAAACTTTTTCTTAAAGGACCAGAGAGTAAATATTTGAGGATTTTGTGAACCATGCAGTCTGTTGTTGCAACTTCTCAGCCCATGGTTGCAGTGTGGAAACGGCCACAGACAATGCATAAATGAATGGGCATGGTTGTGGGTTCCAATAAAACTTCCCTTACAAGAACAGGCAGTGGGCCAAATCTGGCTCTTGGGCTATAGTTTTCCTACCCCTGATAATATTATAATACTTTTTAGGAATGAACACTCACCGTGAGCCAGGAGCTGAGCTATGTGTTTATGGTATTATCCCCATTTCACAGAAGATGAATCAGTTTCAGAGAGGTTTCATAACTTGCCCAAGGCCACGCCGCTAGTAACTGATGGAGCAGAGATTCTGATTTCATTGCTTTGTTCCTAAGAAATGGTTACAAAAAGTATTATGAAGGATGGGAGGTTAGAGACATAATGATATTGTTATTAAATTATTACAAGTATCAACTAATAATACATAATGAGAACATTTCTTGAGAGTCTTCTATGTGCTGAGAACTATGCTAAGTGCCTCCTACAGTGCTAATGTCTGAATGTTGTGTGTCCCTCCAAAAATTCATATGTTAAAATCCTTACCCCCAAGGTGAGGGTATTAGGAGGTGAGGACTTTTGGGAGGTGATTGTGTTGTCTTGATTAGGATTAGTGCCCTTACAAGAGACCCCAGAGAGGACCTCCCCTACTCTGACATGAAGTTACAGTGAAAAGATGGCTATGAGGAAGGACCCTCACCAGACTCTGAATCTGCCAGTGTCTTGACCTTGGACTTCCCAGCCTCTAGAACTGTGAGCAATAAATGTTTGTTGTTTGTAAGCAACCCAGTTATGATATTTTGTTACAGAAGCCCAAATGGATGAAGGCATACTGATTAACACAAATCATCCCCACCACAACCTGCTATTACTATTATTACGCCCATCAGGGAACTGAGGCACAGAGAGGTTAAGCCACTTGACTTAGGTCACATAGCTGTCAAGTATGAGGGCAGGATTCAAACCTACACTGTGCCCTCTACCTCCCCCAGTTGCTATTTTGAAGCCCACACACGCTACAATAATATCCCATTTATCATCTGATAGGGCTTGGGCCCTGACTAATAACAACGTAGCCTTACATGAGGACCCTGGGCTCCTAGCTAACAAGCGATACCCCTTTTTTTCCTGGATCATGGGTTGGTCCCAGGAGACGATCCTGTGTAACTGCGGTTTAACCAACTGATCAGGAAATATTTTAATATTTACAGAACTGGTACAACTCTGGTAGCTGTGCCACTATAAGGTGAGGGCTTTCTAAGGAGGCCGGCCTGGGTGGTGGGGTGCGTGGATGAGCAGAGCAGGAGGCCCAGGTGGTGACCAGAATTCCCCGGGCGTCAGGTTCCTAGCTCAGATGCCAGTAGAGGGATCTGAGGCCTGGGACCCCTGAGCAAATAAACTCAGTCCCTGGGCCTCACCCACCCAGGCCCAGGGCCAGCGCCCCCACTTCTCCCATCTCTCTGCAGTGGCAGCAGCCTGAGTCCTGAGTCAGAGGCTCCCACAGGAAAATAAACTTTCTGTACTAAGAGGAGGAGGGGGAAGCTTACTTTTCAAAAATAGGAAAGGCAGCCCCGTTGCTATGACGAATTCCTCGTGTTGCTCCGTGTTTTTGAAAATTTTTTATTTTTTTTTATGACCCACATAAAAAGGTACATACAGCCTCGTTGTAAAAATACATGGAAAAACCTCCATCTTATGCCCGATTCAAGTGAGGATCAAGATATGAGGCAAGGAGAGCTTGTTTTAAAGTCTTTGAAGGCTCTGGGATCTCTGACATTTGGGGACCCCACCCCACATCATGGTGAACCTCAAAATGCGTGTTTCTTATAAAAATATCTGGAAAGGTTTTAAAATAGTTCATACAATCTGGGCTTTTATGAAGAATAAATTATTCATCGTGTTCTCGTGACTTGTGCTCTTCTATTTCCAACGACAGGAGGGCCGTGGAGGTGCAGCTGATTCACTCATGTATTGCAGACGTTGAACCAGACGTTTATTAATTTTGATGTCGCAGTTTCCTTTTGGTGTTCTGGGGCCAACTCGCTTATGATTACAGGTTTCAGATATCTCTGCAGGCCCTTAACAAGCTGGTGGGCTCCAGGTTCTGGGCCCCAAGTGTGGGGCCATGGGGGCAGGGCCAGGGTCAGGAGCACCAAGCAACTCCTGGGGCCTCAGTTTACCCATATGCAAAATGGGAGTGTTTCAGGATAAAATATGTAGAAAGTTGGAGATAGAGAGGGAGAAAGAGGAAGGAGAAAGAGGATATAAGGGTGAAATCGATGGGATAGAATACAAATAATTGGCAAATTGTTTATATTTGGTAAATATAAATAATTTATATTTATAAATATAAACTTACCATATTATTTATATTTACAAAATATATGTAGTTATAAATATATTTTTACAAACTATGTATAGTTATAAATATATTTTTACAAACTATGTATAGTTGTAAATATATTTTTACAAACTATGTATAGTTGTAAATATATTTTTACAAACTATGTATAGTTGTAAATATATTTTTACAAACTATGTATAGTTGTAAATATATTTTTACAAACTATGTATAGTTGTAAATATATTTTTACAAACTATGTATAGTTGTAAATATATTTTTACAAACTATGTATAGTTGTAAATATATTTTTACAAACTATGTATAGTTGTAAATATATTTTTACAAACTATGTATAGTTGTAAATATATTTTTACAAACTATGTATAGTTGTAAATATATTTTTACAAACTATGTATAGTTGTAAATATATTTTTACAAACTATGTATAGTTGTAAATATATTTTTACAAACTATGTATAGTTGTAAATATATTTTTACAAAATATGTATAGTTGTAAATATATTTTTACAAAATATGTATAGTTGTAAATATATATTTTACAAAATATGTATAGTTGTAAATATATATTTTACAAAATATATATTTACAAAATATATATTTTACAAAATATATTTTTACAAACTATGTATAGTTGTAAATATATTTTTACAAAATATGTATAGTTGTAAATATATTTTTACAAAATATGTATAGTTGTAAATATATATTTTACAAAATATGTATAGTTGTAAATATATATTTTACAAAATATATATTTACAAAATATATATTTTACAAAATATATATTTTGTAAATATATATTTACAAAATATATATTTTACAAAATATATATTTACAAAATATATATTTTACAAAATATATATTTACAAAATATATAATTTACAAAATATATATTTTACAAGAAGTTCTTAAGTTTATATTTACCCTCAGTTGCCAATTATTTATATTTTAATAAATGAATATAAATTTAAAATATTTTAATAAATATAAATTTAAAATAGTTTATTAAATAAAATATTTATTTAAAATATTCTACTACATAAAATATTTATTTAAAATACTTTAATAAATAAAATATTATTTTAAATACTTTAATAAATATATTTTAATAAATATAAACTCCCTATAATGGAGTTTCTTGTACTATTCTTGCCACTTTTTTGTAAGTTTGAAATTATGTAAAAATGAAAAGTCTTCCCCACACCCCAGGTGGTGGTGGGAAGAGCGGGTGTCGGATTAATTGGGAGACTTTGAGCTGTGCTCAGATGAAGCCTGGGATGACCCCAGGGGACCCAGCATGTCGAAAGAAGTGGCTCCACTGTCCCTGTCTTCCTTAACTAAGCAGGTCCATTTCTGTACGCCTTGTATTTTGGGGCTCCATATGGATTCTTCTGGGAAAAAGGGGTCCTTTAAAAAGAAAGCCAGAGACTGGTGGCTGTGGAGGTGCCCCAGGACTTGGGTCTAAGGATTTTGATATGGTTTGGCTCTGTGTCCCACTCAAATCTCATGTTGAATTGCAATTCCCAATGTTGGGGGAGAGACCTGGTGGGCGGTGGCAGTCCAGGGGGCAGAGACAGATGCACACATGGTGAAACGAAAAAGCAGTGTGATTTGAGAAAGCATGAATGTGTTGGCCAAGTACAGATATGCTTGGCAGAAGGATGATCAGGTAGATGGGAAGAGAAGAAACAATCCTGGAAGGCTGCCTGGAGGACAGGACATCTGAGCTAGATTTTGAAAGATGACCAGGAGGTTACTTGGTGGCTGGGCACATGGTAGCAAGAGGGTATATCTGGCCAAAGGGGCAGTTCTAACAAAGGTGTGGAGTCTTTAAATTGCATGATAGGTTCAGAGTAGGAGGGGAAGAGGTAGGCCATGCAGCTAGGGGGATGGCCAGGGGTGAGGCCACCAGAAGCCCCTGTGTCTGTGTGTGTGAAATGGGGGCTGGTGGAGTTCTCTGGGAGTTGGGAGATTAGATCAGCTGCTCAAGACTTGCGGTGTGGCTTTGGGCAGTCACTAAACTTCTCTGGGCCTCCATTCCCCATGTCTCTCCCCACTGCATGTCTCTCACCCCCCAGAAATGGAAGCTTTCGCAGAACGAAGCTATGTGCAGTTGGACGTCACCTGAGTGCTGGGGAACAGCCACAGGTCTCATCAGCTCCGAGCTCCTCCCATCCCAGTCTGGGGTCCAGGAAAAATGCTCTAGAGCAACCTTGCCCAGCCCTCCGACCCCTCCCAGGCATCCAGGGTGGTCCCACCACCCCCAGAGTGGAAAACTACCTTTTTCAGAAGGGGCTGGGTAGGTGGGGTCCCCAGGGCTCACCAGAGAGCAGTGGGCCTTGCCCTCCCCCATCAGAGAAAACCCCTCTGCTGGCCTTAGAGGTGGGGCCTCCTGACTCCCATCCTCACTGAGGGCCATTAACCCTTCAGTGCTGTTAACCCTTTCCAGCTTGGACAAAAGTCTGGGGGCCTGGATGCTCATCTAATGGACAGAACAGACTAGGCTGCCAGTTTTTTCCTTCTGTTTCTCTTTCTCAGTTCCAAAACCTCAACTTCACAATTGTCTGTCTTTCCACCTCAGTCTCCAAGTCCTTAAGAAACTCCCTCCTCCTTCCCCCTCCTTCTCTGAGCCTGGTCTATAGGACAGAAGTAACTCTCACAGTTCCTGAAACACACTGCACAGACTTGAATCCTGTTTCCAATAAAATATTTGTCTGGGGGCATAGCACGTGTCTGGTGACAGCTCAATGCTCAACTTTCCTGTCTTGGTAACTGCAGTCCTCTCTGTGGCTAAGAACTAGAACTCAGACTTCAGGAAGGCTCCCCTGTGTCCTTGGCCCAGCTGGCCTGAGTTGGTTGCTGACTTTGGCCGTCCATTTATTCATTCATTTAACATATACATGTATTGAGCAGCTTCTTCGTCCCTGGCCCAATCCCTGTCCCCAGTCCCTGTCCCCCTGGAGCTTTAGGTGTGGAGGGAGGAAATATACTTTGCACACATCATCATGGCATTACGATTGAGGATGGTGCTGTGGTGGAGGTCAGGGTGCCATGAGAGGTTGGGAGAAAGTGACATTTCAGCTGACCTCTGAAGGTCCTGCTCCCCCTAGGTTTCTCTCCAGCTGTGCCATCCCTTTAGTTTTTCTCCATCTTGGAAGATGAGGTTGGCAAGAACCAGGTTATGGGGGATTTTGATAGACCAGAATCAAGACACTGTAATAGGGAGCCATGAAATGTTGTTGAGCAGTGGAGTGACACAAAACAAAATAGAACGTCAGGATGGCCAGTTCTGCGTGTCCCAAGACACAATTGAGGGCCTGCATTTGGGAATGTGGCCTTTTTCCCCCTCATAAAACCCACCTCCTGCACAAGGTATGTGGCCTTTTTAATGCTCAATAGAAGGGGGTGGAAATCCAATATTTACTACATGACAGTTGGGCTAGACAGTTTTCTAAGCATGTTATGTGTATCAACTCTAATTTTCCCACCAACCTTTTGAGGTAGGGACTCTATTAGATTCAGGGAGGTTAGGAAATTGCACAAGCCCACACAGCTAGCAAGTGGAGCAGAGACTCAAACCCAGATCTGCCTGCCCCCAAGCCCAATGTTCTGGTCTTCTTTGAAACAGCTCTTGTATTAGATTTCTACTGCTGCTAGAATAAATCACCACAAACTTAGTGGCTTAAAATAATACAGATTTGTATCCCTACAGTTCTGGAGCTCAGAAGTCCAAAATGAGCCTCATGGGCTAAAATCAAAGTTTTCGTAGGGCTGGTTCCTCTTGGAGGCTGCAGGGGAGAATCTGTTCTTTGCCTCTTCTGGTGTCTGCAGGCTGCCCACACTCCTTGGCTCCTGGTCACATCAGTAAATCTCTGCTTCCTTCATCACCCCACTGCCTTCTCCCTGCCCTGATCTCCTGCCTTACTCTTAATAGGACTCTTAATAGGACACTGGGCTCGCCTGTATGATCCAGGCTAATCTCCCCATCTCAAGATCTGTAATTCAATCACATCTGCAAAATCCTTTCCCTTTTACCACCTAAGGTAACATAGGTAACATATTCTCGGGTTCTGTGGATTGGGATGTGGGTATCTTGGGGGACCATTATTCTGCCTGTCACAGTCTTCCAGCCTATTTTGCCCTCTGCTCTTTTAAAGGCTGCTTGCATCTTCAGGACGTGTTAGTTGCCTGAGAATCTTTTATTTTTATTTTTATTATTATTTTTAAGACAGAGTCTTGCGTGGTGGCCCAGGCTGGAGTGCAGTGGTGCCATCTTGTCTCACTGCAACCTCCACCTCCTGGTTCAAGCAATTCTCCTGCCTCAGCCTCCCAAAAAGCTGGGATTACAGGCATGTGCTGCCATGCTTCGCTATTATCTTTTTTAGCAGAGATAGGGTTTCACGATGTTGGCCAGGCTGGTCTTGAACTCCTGGCCTCAAGCAATTGTCCTGCCTTGGCCTCCCAAAATGCTGGGATTATAGGCGTGAGGCACCATGCCTAGCCTGCCTGAGAATCTTTCCTGGTAATTAAGGGGTTCTTAGAAAGCATCATATCTCATTTAAAATGGGGAGTTTCACTGGGCGCGGTGGCTCACGCCTGTGTCCCAGTACTTTGGGAGGCCAAGGTGGAAGGATCACTTGAGGTCAGGAGTTCGAGACCAGCCTGGCCAACATGGCGAAACCCCATCTCTACTAAAAATACAAAACTTACCAGGTGTGATGGTGCGTGCCTATAATCCCAGCTACTTGGGAGGCTGAGGTGAGAGAATCACTTGAACCCAGGAGGCTGAGCTTGCAGTGAGCCCAGATCTTGCTACTGCACTCCAGCCTGGGCAACAGATTGAGGGAGACTCAGTCTCAAAAGAATTTTTTAAAAAAGTAAATAAATAAATAAAATGAATTCTCCAGCAGGCCAGCTTCCTGAGCATAGGGCATGGCTGTCTTGTTCACCAGCCTGTGCCTGCCACAGAGATGGGGTCCAGTAAGCATCTATTGAGCACTGAATGAACCAGAGAAGGTATATGAGTCCCCCAAGGTCACACAGCCCATCTTTGGCTGAAATAGAGGAGCTCTCATTCCCATGTGGCCTGTCTATGCCTTAAAGAAAGTCCAAAGTAGGCAGAGTTTGGACTTAGAGAGGATCCTTCATGTGGCAGGATGCATCTTTGAAGACCTCCTTTGGTTGGGAGCCTCTCTGCTGAGCCTAGTTTAGCCACTGATGATCAGGGAGGCTGGGGAAACCGTTCAGCTTTAAGTAGAGTGTTAGGAATCTGTGAACACTAAAGATCTGCCGGAAGGAGCTACCCAGTGGCTTGGGAATGAGATATAAGCTCCATTACACTAGGCACAGCCAGTACCAGGAGAGGGAGTGGTAGGGGTGGAACCAGTCCCTGCTGAACCAGTCCACCCTGCGCCAATGGGACAGAGTTTAGTTGGAGGACAGCATGGGATGAGAAAGGCAACCCTCCTCCCACTCCAGGTCCAGGGCAGGCATTGCTCACGGATCACTGAGTTCCTTGCAGCCAGGCCAGGATGTGGCCTCAGATTCCCTTTAACACAGAGCTCCAGGAATCAAGAACCAGTCAACCCGAGCTGGACCTCAAAAGGAAGCTTGACCCTCCATCCTGATTCTATGTGGAGCTGCCAGGGGTGTACACAGAGGTTCCTCTGAGGGTCCTGGAGGAGACTGCTTCTCTCTCAAGTCCCAGTATCCCCAGGTCAGCCCTTAGATTTCAAAATCCTCTTTAAAACAAAAGCATAAAAACCCCCACAAGCAACAACAAACACTTTTTGCTCCAAGAAAGAAAAGCCAAACTGTTCAGCCCTGTTCAAAAGGGATGGCCAAAGGCCCGTGGCTTCAGATTGTCCCACAGCCACCAGGTGGAGAGTCATAAGCCAGGCAGCCCCACGCCTTCCTCACTGGCCCAGTGGGGCTGTGGGTTCCCACCTCCTCTGCCAGCCACCCAGGGACCCAGCTGGCTGGGGGACCAGTGTCCTTGCTCTGCCAGTTGTGGCTCCTAGCTGATGAGACCCGAGCTTAGGTTTGGCTGGGAGGCCAGAGGCAGAGGGAGGCATGCCACAGCCACAGCCACCTCCAGGGAGGAAGAGGCATGTCCAGGAGTCCATCCCCGGGCTGGATTTACCCAGCTCCTCTTCCATAGTACCCGTGTGCTTGATCTTCCTCGAAGGCTGCCTTCTGGCCTCCTTCTCTTCTCTCCCACTCTCCCTCCTCTCCCCCACTCCTTCTTCTCCTCCCCTCTCCTTTATCTCCCTTTCCTCCCCTTCTTCTCTTTCCCCCTTCCTCCTTCTGACCCCCTCCTCCCCTTTCTTCCTCTTCCCTCCTCCTCTCCTCTTCCCTCTTTTTCCTCTTTTCATCTCCCTCCTCCCTTTCCCTCCTCCTCCTTACCCCCTCCCCCTCTTCTCCTCCTCCCTCTCCCCTCTCCTCCCCTTGACCCCTCCTCTTCCCTCCTCCTCCTCTCTTCCTCCTTCCTCCTCCTCTTTTCATCTCCTTCCTCCCTTTCCCTCCTCCTCCTTACTCCCTCCTCCTCGTCTCCTCCTCCCCCACCCTCTCCTCCTCCCCTTTCTTTCTCTTCCCTCCTCCTCCGCTCCTCTTCCCTCCTCCTCTTTTCATATCCCTCCTCCCTTTCCCTCCTCCTCCTCCCCCTCCCCTCTCCTCTACTTGGCCCCTCCTTTTTCCTCCTCCTCCTCTCCTCTTTCCCTCCTCCTCCTCTCCTTTTTCCCTCCTCCTCTTTTCCTCTCCCTCCTCCCTTTCCCTCTTCCTCCTCTTCCTCTTCCACTGTCCACAGCAGATGAGGAAACTGAGACTCCAAAGGTGAAAGGCCTTGCCCAAGTCACACAGCTTACAGTGACAGCGACAGGAATTCAAACCAGGTCCGTCTGCTATCAAAGCCTCTGTTCTTAGCCACTATTCTGTGCATTGGCAAGGTGACTTGTTCCAGGGCCCATTTCAATGGATTCCTAATTGAAATGCCTATGTCAGTGGATCTCAAACTTGAGCAAGCATCAGAATCCCCTGGAGGGCTTCTTAAAACCCAGATGGCTTCCTGGAGTCTCTGATTGCCAAGGTCTGCAGTGAGGCCCAAGGGTTTGTGTTTCTAACAAACTTCTGGGTGAGGCTGCTGGGGTTGGTATGGAAACTAGACTTTAGGAACCTCTGGTCTCTATTAGATGGTGATATACAAGATCCCTGCCACGTTATGGAAATATCCTCTCCTTTCACCAGGAGAACCTGGGGAATGACATGATTTGGCTTTGTGTCCCGACCCAAATCTCATCTTGAATTGGAATTCCATAATCCTCACGAGTCATGGGAGGGACCAGGTGGGAGGTAATTGAACATGGGGGTGGTTTTCCCCCCATCCTGTTCTCATGATAGTGAGTGAGTTCTCATGAAATCTGATGGTTTTATAAGAGGCTTCCCCCTTTGCCTGGCACTCATTGTCTCTCCTGCCACCCTGTGAAGAGGTACCTTCCATCATGATTGTAAGTTTCCTGAGGCCTCCCCTGCTATGCGAAAATGTGAGTCAATTAAACCTTTTTTCTTTATAAATTACCCAGTCTTGGGTATTTCTTCACAGCAGTGTGAGAACGGACCAATACAATTACTAACTTCTGGGTGACCTTGGGTGAGTCCCTTGCCTCCTCTGGGTTCAGTGTTCTCATCTGTACAGTAAGTGTTTCGATATGATGTTTTGTTCCCTAGATAAGCCCAAAGAAGAAGAGAGCAAGGAAGACAGTTGGGTAGACTGGGCCTGACTTCTGACTATAGAGACCTGTGTGACCTCAGGCAAGAGACTCAATCTCTCTGGGCTTCAAGTTATCTGTGAAATGGAAGAATGAAATTAGATGGTTTCTAAGTGTAAAGCTCACTGAATTAAAGGATTGAGGATGGTGGGGAGAGGTCGGTGGGGTTCTAAGGCTGATCAGACGATGAGGACATAGTCCTCCACCTGCCCAAGACTTTGAGGCCCAAAACACAGGTTTCTCTCCTTCTCTCCCTCCCTCCCCATCTCCCTCTCCCTTCACCTTCCCCTCCTCCCCATTACCTTCCTCCCTGCCCTCCCTTTTCTTCCTTTCTTTCTTCTCCTCCCTTCCCCTCTCTTCCCCTCCCCTGCCCTTCCCTTTTCTTTTTCTTTCTAAAAATATTATTTTAGGCAGTCGTAGGCAGTCTTGGCTTTGGAATCAGACAGACTCAGATCCAGCCATGGCTCGGTCAGCATGAGCTTGGCGCCCTGGGCAAAACGACTTCTGCTCTGTGGCCCTAGCATCCTCATGTGTAGAATGGGCAAGTGATGCCCCCCCGACGTGGGTGGTGGTTCACACGGCTTACTCCATGGAAGCACTTGGCACAGGGGCCCACATGGGCACTTCTGTTATTTCTTCAGTCTGGAGGCCAAGGGTGGGCCTCCGAGCCAGACAACATAGTTGGAATCCCAGCTCTGTCAGCTGCTGGCGGTGTGGTCTTGAGCAAGTGACTTAATCTCTCTGTACCCCAGTTTCCTTATTGGTAAGACTGGAGTAGTAATAATTCCTGTTATCTAGGGTTGCCGTGAAGAGTAAGTACGCATCGCCTAGCACGCTGCCTGGCTGTCGGTTGTTTTGATTATTCCACTAATGATGGTGACCACACAGCCGATGAACCAGGCACTTAGCGCCTGGTTAGGGCAGGGAACAGAATACAGTTCTTTCCCTACAGAGTTCCTGGTGCAAGGAGTTCTCGGTGCAAGGAGAGAGACATCTTAACAGGCAAGGACAGCACTGCATCAGTGAGGTGATGGGGTGACCCTGAGGGGCACAGCAGCCCCCGAGGGTTGGGGAAGGCTTCCCTGGGAGGTGACCTTCAACCTGAGACCTGAAGAGGCAGTAGGAGACCATCGGGCCACGAATTAGGGCAGGAATAGCATCCAGGTGGGAGGAACAGCGTTGCAAAGGCCCAGGGTGAGAGGCAGCCAATCTCTCGGTCAGTGTGGAGCTTGAGCCCCTCACCGGGAGCAGAGGCGCTTGCACTTCCCCCAGCAGCCGGGTGCTCAGATGTGCTCCCTGTTTGCGCTCAGTGGGCACGGCTCCCCGGCTGCAAGAGGCTGCCAGAGGGGCGGGTCGTCCCCAGCGGGCCCCCGCCGCCACCCACAAGCCCAGTCCCCGGCTGGTAGGGGCACCCTCCCCTCGCAGCCCCCTCTCCACGCAGCTAGCCGCCCCCGCCCTAGGTCAGCCCAGTTTCCTGCCCCTCCCTCCTGCTCTCCTCCCTCCAGCTGTTTCTCTGGCTGAGTTCTGTCCCAGTCCCATTCAGGGAAGCAGCCCCGGCGGCCAGCAGGGAGCTCAGGACAGAGCAGGCTCCCTGGGAAGCCTCCGGGTGATAGGGGTGTTCCAGCTGCGGCGCTCTGGGGGTTCAGAGGGGGATCTTGAATGAACAAATGAATGAACTGCTTTCTGGGCAAACAGCCACAGCCAGAGGAGCCTGTGATTGGCAGAAAGAAGCCAGGGTGTGCAAGTCTCCCCAACAGCCTCGAGTGGCCTGCAGTCACAGGGAACCCTCAGGAAGACCTTCCGGGCAGAGACCAGAGGGAAGGTATCATCACACACTTGCCTTGGGTGTCTTCTGAGGGGGGCCAGGGAAGGGGAATGAATACTAACAGAGAGAAAAGTTTGTTTCTTTTTATAATTTCATATTTGTTAAAAGGAAGAGTTTTGTTATTATTTTCAGATGTCAAAAGTAATGCATGTTCATTGTTTAAAGAAATAGCAAGGATACACAACTAAATATATGAATGTGGATTTCCACATCTAGTTTGGTAACCTGCTTAACCACAGATTGTGAACTTTTTTCCATATCACCTATATTCTTCCAATATACATTTTTCATGGCTGCATAGAAAGGCTATCTTAAGATTATTTGACTTTTCCATAATAGATTTGCTTCTTTTTTTTTATTAGAACAGTGCTGCAATGAATATTTAGTATGACATCTTTGTGTGTGTGTCTTATGAATACCTTTTAGAAATTGCTAGATTTAAGGTTTGCCTATTTTTAAGACTTCTGAGCTTTTGGTCACACTGCACCCTGGAAGGCCGTGGCAGCTTGACCTCTCTACGATGTTATACCAGGGCACAGTATTCTCACATACTAAACCCACCTTGTTGCTACCCATCCCTTAAACTTTCCCTGATGTGAAGTCGAGAATAATATCTAGATGCTTCAATAGGCATTTCATTTCTTTGTTAGTGTTGATTCTCTTTTATAAACTTATTTTTCACATTTCTAGTCTGACTCTCCTGTTCAAGTCTGTTCCCATTTTTTTCTCCTCTGGGGGCATGTTTATCTTTTTCCAATTGATATCTAAGGGTTCTTTGTATATAAAGGACACAAAACCTTTGCCGGCACTCTCTGTTGAAAATATTCCACTCCCTCCTCTGTCTTCAGAATAGCCCATTTTAAATGGGCAAGCCAGCTTTGGCAAAATTATAAGCATTACAACATCAGGGAACTACTACTTGATATAAGCCCAATCACTCAGACCTGTGCGGTTCAGAGATGCCAGATCACTGGTCTGAGGTCACACGCCTGAACGTCCAGGTTCTGAGTCTTTCTTTTTCTATTAGGGAAAGCCCTCAACTTCCCTTTTGCATCCCCTACCTCCTTCTCAAGACCAATCTTCTCTGTGGTTCTTGCTGTATCTCCTGCCCCTTCCAAACTGGTTTGAAGGTAAGATTCCTCTAAATGCCTTGGCTGCTGAGGTGAGTGTGACTGGGTCATTCAGGCCTCTGGTGCAGGAGGAGGCAGCTTGGCCTTTTCTTTAACCTAAACCAGTGGCACTCAAATGATGATGTGTCATACACTTGGGAGGTCCACAGGAGAGTTATCTCTTGATGCACAGGGGCCTTCTTTGGACTCCCCCAAAACTTCAGGGAACAGATAACCTTAACTTTGGGCAAGTCATGCCTTTCTCTGGCTTGACTTGTTCTGAGAAGTCCCCTACCCGCACTGGGTCAGGGCTTGTCTGCTAGGCTCTCCCAGGGCCTATCCCTCCCTTATCACGGCTCCTACCACACCGTGTTCTAATGACCAGTCATCTTGTCTGTCTCTCCTTCTAGCCGGGAGGCCCCTAGAGGCCAGATCTGGGATATTACTTTTTTTCTGCATCCTCAGTCCCCTGCACAAGAACTAGCATATATTAGGGTCATTGTTCATGGAATAAATAAAGTAACCAGGTGTCAGTTTCACCATCTGTAAAATGGGGTGGGGGAAGTTGGACTGAAGTCCCATCTCTTAGATGTTTACCTAATAACTCCTCTCAGTTTGCAAACCACTTTCTCGAGATGATTTTATCAAATCCTCACCATGGCCACATGATGAAGGTACTATTAACATGCCCATTTTACAGATTAGGAAACAGAAGCCTGGAGAGTTCTGATGCTAGACCTCCCCACAAAAGGGAGTAGAACATTGTGCAAGAAGGGGCACCTTGGTCTTAGGCAAGGTACTCCCACTCTCTGGCCACAATAATATCATCTGTAAATAAGGATGATATTATTTGATATTATTATCACTCTGGGGGTGGGCTTGAATTGGCCTGCCACCTGCCAACTGAGTGACATGGAATCAGTTATTCCTCATCTTTGTGCCTGAGTTTCCTCATCTATAAAATGGGAATATGATCAGTAACTGCCTCATAAGATTATTCTAAAGAGTAAATGAGATCATACAAGTAAAGCTGTAAGCAGAGGATTTGTTGTAAAATAAGGTCTCTATAAACATTAGCTATTGTTCTGATGATCATTTCTATTCCACTGTGCCTGTCTATACCTGTGACACTCATCTGAGCCAAATGGAAATTATTATTGATTTCTTTAGTGGATTATTAATGCTCTTATTCCCACTGATGTACAAGAAAACCAAAAGCTTATTTCATTCTCTTTGAGCTACACCACATGGGTGCAGACATTACCGCCAGTTGCGAGGCTATGAAGTAGACTCAGAGCTTCTCAAAGTGCAATCTCTAGACCACCTGCATTAGAATAATTGTGAGTGTTTCTTTTTTTTTTTTTTCCTGGAGATGGAGTCTCGCTCTGTCGCCCAGGCTGGAGTACAGTGGCGCAATCTTGGCTCACTGCAAGCTCTGCCTCCCGGGTTCACGCCATTCTCCTGCCTCAGCCTCCCAAGTAGCTGCGACTACAGGCACCCACCACCCCGCCCGGCTAATTTTTTGTATTTTTAGTAGAGACGGGGTTTCACCGTATTAGCCAGGATGGTCTCAATCTCCTGACCTTGTGATCCACCCACCTCGGCCTCCAAAAGTGCTGGGATTACAGGCGTGAGCCACTGCGCCCGGCCAATTGTGAGTGTTTCTTAAAGCTTCAGTTTGGAAATCAGAATCTCTGTGGATGAGGCTTCAGTGTCTGCATGTTGAACCAGCACCCCAGGTCATTCAGATGCACCCCAAAACTTGAGAACTACCAACCTAGAGTGCTTAAAAGTCTTTCCTTTTTGCCCTTTGTTCACACTGGGGTCTTGGGTTCTTTGCTGCACAATAAGGTTTCTTTTTTCCCTTCTAAGCAAATATTCATGTACTTCTGTGAATCCACATGTTCCGTGTCAGCAGTTGAGGCCAGAAGGTTTGGCAGAGAAGAAGCGAAACTTTGTCTTATAGTACCACAGAAAGTCAGATCGTGTTAGCAATCCCCCAGCATGGAGGCTTTGAAATTATTTTCAGTTGCAGAATCCTTTCCACAAATGAAAGTCTTATGGGGAAGTGTAATTTGAAAACAGATAAAGGTGGTGTTATTCTTGTTGAAACAGAGGTGGAAGACTCCAGGCTGCCACTAAATCTCACTCTTGTTGCTGAAGGGCCTCTAAGAATCTTTGTAGCTCCATGGGGCAGGCAGGAAACTGCAACTCCTCTACTCCAAGGAGTTAAGAGACCAAAGTTCTAGACATTTGTTGAGCTTACTGTGTGACCTTGGCAAGGCACTCTTACTCTTTGGCCACAATAATTTCATCTGTAAATAAGGAGGTCGAATGGTATATCAGCTAGGGTAGTAGCTGCAGTAACAAATAGGTCCCCAAAGGCATAAGGGCTGAAGCAAAGCAGAGCTTTATTATAAGGCAAGTATTTCTGAATGGAGGGTGGTCCTCTTCCTCATGGTACTTCAGTGACTCATCTGGTGGTCCCACTCTCTCCTCAGATATCCTCATTGTCTGCAGCCAGGTGCACAAGACAAAAGAAAGTATGGAGGTGGCATATTTGCTTATCTGCTTTGGCCTGGAAGCAGCAGACATGACTTCCACTCACATGAGAACTATCATGTGGCCAATCTAGTTGCAAAGGAGGCCAGGACATGGAGTTACAAGGATATGAGGTTCTTGGCAAAGAGCAGCTCTTTCCCAGCCACAGTCGTGTATTGTGGACAGGGAGAATGAATTTTTGTGGACAGCTACCTGTCTCTGTCACAAATGTGGTGACCTCTTGGGTTGCTTCCATTCTTTGATTCTAAGTCTACATTTCCATTAGTCAATCTTAGTTAACATGGTGATGTTGGACTCACAACATCACCTATCCTCAAGGTAATTCCCATCAAATATACTAAGTAAATTTCCAGACTCCAGGCCCCTAAACATGGATTTTTCTGAAACATAGGCAACTGCCATTCTCTTTTCCCCCTGGAAAAAGGAAATAAGAATAATGGTTTGATAGAACATGCTGCGGGTTATTAAGCCAAAGGTATTTATATCCATTATCTACTTGAATCTCCCTACAAGCCTACATGGAAAGGCCTCAGGACTATCATCCCCATTTTATAGGTGAATAAAATGAGGCTCAGAGAGCTAAAGGGACTTGCCTAAGGTCACACAGCTCATAGCAAAAGAATGGGATTTGAACGAAAAACATCTTATTCCTGTCCTAGGGCCCCACTGCACATTTGAATGTTGGTGTTCATGTACGTGTACATGGTGTGGTTAGAGTCGGGATTTTCCTTGGGCTGGGCTCCCCCAGGGCTGGGCATGAGGGAAGTGAAAGCTCAGGAATCATGCTCAAACTCCCCAGAATGGGCCAAGGCTGCTGACTGTAAGGCAGCTGGGTGGTTGTCCTAGGTCCTGGGGTGAAGAAGTACAGTGTGACCAAGTATTACAGCCACTGGCTGTGTAAAAGAGAAGGGACAGTGCATGAGGGTGTTGTGTGGTCCTGGAAGACACTGAGGCTTCAACTGGGCTGGCCACATAGTGGGTGCCTGGGAGCACTTTCCTGTGTGAATAAATGCATGTGGGAGTAACAGCTGCAGCACTGTGAGAAAATGAGATGAATCAGACCTGCTTCCTGTCTTTGAGGCCCTCAGGGGAGGAGAGACAAACTTGTAACATATACTTTTATTAATTCACTCAACAAACATTTATTAGCATCTACTACACGTCTGGCTCTCCACAGGGCAAGAACGATGGAAAGACAGGATTCCTATCCTTGTGGAACCCATTTGAGAGATGAGGAAAGTGAGGCCCTGATTGGTTACGTGACATTCCCAAGATCATTTGGCCAGATTAGGACTTGAAACACCTGGCTTCCAGCCCAGCACTTTTTCCATAGCCCCTGCTGAGGAGGTGGCCGTAGGCCAGGACTGAGATGCAGTGAGGAGCCCCTGTTATTGGCAGCCACTTTGAGCTGCCGCCGGACTCAGGACATGCTGGTTTCAGGCGATAGCACGAAACCAGTTATTTCTTTTTAGAACCTCTAGATTTTTGCAGCAATGGACACAGGTATGAATGAGAAAAAGTAGAAATCCTTGCACTGTCAGATGGAATCAAGAGGCAGTAATTCTACGTGGTGCTATCAGAGAAAGAAATGTTGACGTCTGGGTGACGTTGGCTGGTAGCACACTGTGGTGATGATAGATCCCAGATCCAAGTGCTCCAGAGTTGAGATCCCAGCTCTGAACTTTAACCTCCTGAGCCCCTCAGCTTCCTCATTCATAAGGTGGGCATGCTATGAGTACCTGCCTGTCAGGGTTATGGTGAGATTAAATGAGTCCATATCCATCAAGCACTGAGTACAGCACGTGGTCAGTTCAGTGAAGGCATTTCTATTTTTATTTTTGGGACAGTGAGCTTTGAAATTGGCCTTTGCACATCTGGGTGTCTGGTGCCTTGTGATCTTGGGTTCCCAGACTGGAAAATGTCATTTGGGCTAGTCTCTTGCCTCCATGTCTGGCCCCAAGGAGAGGTCTTGGGCTCTGCTGGTGGAGAGTGCCCTGGGCCTCACTGTCTTCACCATAGACAGTCTCTGGCAATGTTGGAAGTACCAGCGGCTGACTCAGCAGGGAGGTCAGCTGCTATCCAGGCAGAATGTCAGAATCGGTTCTGCTTTCTTGGGGTATAGGACATGGGTCCTCAGATTCCAGCCCTGGGTTCCTGCTGAGGGCAGCTCTTGTGCAAGGAGGTGGGTGGGTGGGGAGATGGGTACAAAAAACAACAGTGAGCACACTTGGTTTTTCCTCCTGGAAATCAGGGGTCAGAGAAACAGGAAGTCAATGGAGAGAGGGTGTGGTGTAGTGAGAAGAGGGCAGGCCCTGTGGTCTGGCAGATGTGAGTTCTAATCCTGGGTTTGACACCTATTGATTTATTTTTTATTTTTTGAGACAAAATCTCATTCTGTCACCCAGGCTGGAGTGTAGTGACATGATCACAGCTCATTTGCAGCCTCGACCTCTGGGGCTTAAGTAATCCTCCCACCTCCTGAGTAGGTGGGACTATAGGCATGCATTACCATGTCTGGCTAGTTTTTGTATTTTTTGTAGAGACAGGATGTATTAGTCAGGGTTCTCTTAGAGGGTTCTCTTACGGTTCACTCTCTACATATAAAAAGGGGGAGCTTATTAAGTATTAATTTACATGATCACAAGGTCACACAATAGGCCATCTGCAAGGAGAATCAGTCTGAGTCCCAAAACTGGAGAACTTGGAATCCGATGTTCGAGGGCAAGAAGCATCCAGCATGGTAGAAAGATGTAGGCTGGGAGGCTAGGCCGGTCTCTCCTTTTCAGGTTTTTCTGCCTGCTTTATAGTCTCTGGAAGCTAATTAGATTGTGCCCACCGGAGTAAGGGTGGATCTGCCTTCCCCAGCCCACTGACTCAAATGTTAATCTCTTTTGGCAACACCCACACAGACACATGCAGGATTAATACTTATTATATTTTAATCCAATCAAGTTGACACTCAGTATTAACCATCACACAGGGTCTCACCACATTGCCCAAGCTGGTCTTGAACTCCTGGACTCAAGTGATTCACCTGCCTTGGCCTCCCAAAGTGCTAGGATTGCAGGCATGAGCCACCGCATGTTTTTGCGGTGAGCCCGGCCACCTATTGTTTTTGTGAGCATGTGCAAGTCACATACATATAACCTCTTTAGGCCTCAGTTTCCTCCTGCCCAGGGTTGTTGAGAGAGTGTCTGCCATGTTCTTTGGCCTGGAGTAGGTGCTCAGTAAATGACTTGGGGTGGGGAATAAGGGCAGGGGACACTCAAATGCCCATCCTTTGTTACCTGAATTGGTTTGAACAGTTATCAGAATCTATGAATTCCTGAGTGTTATATGAAGTAAGAATTCAGGTAGCAAGTGTATATGTTTCCTGTTACTGCTATAACAATAACCATAAACCGAATGGCTTAAAACAACACAAACTTATTATCTTATTAGTTCTGGAGGTCAGAAGTCCCAAATGGGTTTCACTGGGCTAAAATCAAAGATTGCATCTCTTCCGGAGGCCCTAGGGGAGAATCTGTTTGCCCTCCTTTTCCAGCTTCTAGAGGCTGCCACATTCCTTGACTCATGGTCCCCTTCCCCAGCCTTCAAAGCCAGCAACCGCAGGTTGAGTCCTCGTCACATCAAATCACTTTGACTCTCCTGCCTCTCTGTCTCATTTTTAAAGACGCTGAGCTCACCTGGGTAATCCAGCATAATCCCACCATCTCAAGATTCCTAATGACGTCTGCAAAGTGTCTTTTGCCATGTAGGATGACATATTTACAGGTTCTGGGGATTAGGATGTGGACATCTTTGGGGATCTGTTATTCTGTCTAACAGTGACATTGGTCTGCATCTGATTGTTTCTTGAATTTCGAATTTAGATATTGGGAGTTCAGGTGGCCATCTATTGACAGTTGGTTCAGCAGAGTATTGACCAATTAGAATGGATGCAAGTGTAGCAACCAGTGAGGCTTTACCAGGGAGTATTCAGTGATTATCAGGACCGAACCAGGAACCAGACTTTGGCATCATTTAGACTGCGTTCACGTCCCTGCACTTATGAACCTGCTGACTCTGAACGAGGGGGTTCTCCCATCTGTGAAATGGGGATGGCGGCATGTTGTACATAGGGTAGTAGTTAGGATGGAAGGAGATAGTAAGAGTTAAGTGTCTGGCACCTGGTAGGAGGCTCAACAGGAATGAATGATCCCCCAGGAGTTTAACTTCCCAGCTTGAGTCTCTCCATCCCAGGTACTGGTGATTTCTAGTTATGAGAACCTTTCTGTCTCTGCCCCATGCTAGGGAGACATGCTTGTCTGGCTCATGGGCTGCAAGGAGCACAAGGGCTCCTTCTCTTCCCCCCTGTAAGAGAGGAGGTTCATTTTTGAGGATGTGGATGCTAACTAGGAGGGGAGAAGGTGCCAGCTGCCCAGCCAGCCTTGTGTTTGACCTGGAAGGCTCTTGGGATATGTGTTGGCTTGAGGGCTGGATTATCTTTGTCCCCTAGGCTGCAGGAGCCTGCAGCCCCCATTCAGCTGTTCTACTATCAATGGGGCTCAGTGTCTCCTATGTCTACCTCCTTCTGCTCCCAGTCCTGCTACCAACTGCTCTACTTTATTTCCAAGTCACTGTTTATATGCCCCAAGAGGGGCTACCTCATTGGTTCATGTAATCCTTCCAGGGTCCCCACTGGATCCCTGCTGGGGTTCTCTCTGATGGTGGATGGATTCCCTCTGAATCTGGAACTTGCATTTCTAGAAGGTCCCAGAAGAATCACGAATTGGCATTGAATTGAATTGGCACTGACCTTGACATGATCTAGTCCAGGGATGGAAGTCCACACCCCTCACCATGTGCTGTGGCAGACATCACACATCAGTCATGACTTTTCCTCTAGTTGAACCCAGATGTCTTTGTCATTTATCTTTGTGGATCAAACACCCCCAAATTTAGTGGCTTGAACTGACTTATTCATTTATAATTATGCAACTTAGCAGAGTTCTGCAGGGACAGTGCATCTCTGCTCCACATAGTGTTGGCTGCGTTACTCATGGGCTGCATTCAGCTGGGAGCTTGACTGGGGCTGGGATATATAAGATGATCTCACATCCTGGAACTTGTGTGCTCTGTTTCTCTCTTTCTCTCTCTCTGTAGCCCATCTCTCCAGCAGAACTGCTTGGATTTTTCTACCAGGAGGCTCAGGGCTCTGCAACAATGATAGCAGAAGCTGATGGCATCTAGAGATCTAGGCTGGGACTAGCACAGCATCACTTCTACCACTTTCTGTTGGTCACAGCAACTCACCATGCCAGTGCAGATTCAAGGGGAGGAGAAATAGAGTCCACTTCTTGATGGGAGGCGTGACATGTGAGTATTGGGGCAGGGTGGGATGTTAGAGTCTATCTTTAAAGACAATCTACCATCTTCATCTTAAAACAACGAATGACAGTGGCCATCTGAGATAATCATTTGTCACCCTAAGTTAGACTACACTCCCATTTTTCAGATGGGAAAACTGAAACTCAAAAAGGATTTGTTTAAAGGAGCCTCTGTTCACTTCACAAGCATTTACTGAGCACTAACTGTGTGCTAGGAGCATGGGATACAGGGAGCTCCTGTTGAGTGGGAGACAGGTGAGTAAACAGACAGAGTGGAGGCCCATCTAGCCAGAAGGTTGGCTTTAATGTTGGTTGCTTGGGGCAAATTTTGCTCACAGGTCACAGTCACCCATGATGATTCCATTCATCATCCATTCAGAACAGTAAGTGACTACTGGGCCATTTTTACCAAGTGCTTATTGTTAAATACCCTCCCACTTATGCCTGCTTGATACATTTAGTGTGCAAAGTACTGCAGGAGTGAAGTGGAGGTAGCTTTCACTGGGGAAGCCAGGAAATAGTGCTTCGAGAAGGAAGCATATATTCGAGCTGGGTTCAAAGGGTGAATTGGCCTTCAGTTGCTTATAGGAGCAGTTGGCTAGACATGAGAGAGATTTTAGGCAGGGAGAGCTGCATGAACACAGATCCAGAGACTTGATGAGTGCAGGGAGTCTGGCGTGGTGGGCAGGAAGCAGGGATGGCAGGAGGAGGTCGGAATGCTCCTCAGGGCCTTGAAGGCCCCACCCAATTTTCCAGGTGGTCCAATGTGCTTTATTTCATGGGAACAGCATCCTGCTGCCTCCAACCCTTGCCCTCTCCAAACTCAGTTGATTAAATTTGAACATTTGGACAATGGAAGATTCCAGACAACCCGAAGCTAATTAAGTTTGAAATTCCAGTGGGCATGCTGGTTTGTGGCTTTATCTCATGGGGTGTCTGGCCCATAAACCAGCTTGGAGAAGAGAATCTTTCTCTCCACTGGGGGCTTTCTTGATTGAATGGTGGGTCCCCCTCCCACCACTCCCAGGACTTGCTGATGGACGTAGGCATAGAGGCTGAGAGGAAATGAGGTGTTTCCTTTTGGTTTAATCCTAAAGGAGAGCTGATATAAGATGGCACTTTGGGTTGCCCAAGGCCATTTGGTGATGTCTTTACTGGAGAGAGGCAGACTTGGCCACCAGTTGCAGCAGCCAGACTAACCCAGGCTGGGCATTAAAGGGCCCCCCGGCCTCCTAGCTATGGGGAGGTACGGCTGACTGACGTCAAGAACAGGTCTTCAGGGAGTGCAGGCAATTTTCAGTCTTTTTTATGACAGACTCAACTCACAGGGGGCCTCTTCAGCTGTCAGGGATTTAGGTCATGAAGAAAAAGGGCTTCCCTTGAGTCAGAAGGGATGGCCACCGGGTGGATAGAGGCAGCTGCTCCGCTTTCTCCAGACCTCTTTTGAAACCCATTTCAGCCACGTGCTGGCTGGGAGGCCTCAGAAGAGTTGCTTAACTGCTCTGAGCCTCAGTTTCCTCAACTTTACGAAGAGGATCATAAAAGGGCTTTCCTCACTGAAGTGTTGTGGGGCTTAAACGAGATCACGTGTGGCCCGGAGTTGGGGCTAAAAAATAAAGCGTGGCCTTGGTGTCAGGGGGCTTGCCTGGTGGGGAAGGGATGCGGGAGATCAGCATTCTTGAACCATGAGAGGCTAAGAAATGCCGGTTGTAGGCAATGCCAAAGTCATAGTTTCGTTCCAGGCTTTTCCCTTTCGACTTCCTGCCTTGGCCAAAAGACATGGTAGGGACTGGGTGGAGACCTTGACTTGCTGGCCTCACTTCTCCCGGGGGAAGCTGGCCCTGTCTGGCCTAAACAGGCCTTTCTTTTACTGTTTTTCCCTCTCACCCCATGAAAAGCCTCAGATGTGAAGGAAATCAGGAAATCATAAACACGACTCTGGGGAGGGGAGAGAACTGCTGTGAGCAGCCTGTGAGGCCAGCTGGTGGGGAGATACCCTCCCTTCCCCATCACAGGGTTTCTGACAGGTCTCCCGGGAGGAGATTGTCAGGCTGGGACCCCGGACATCCTCCATGTCCTGGAAGGCTGGCCTCTGATCCACACTTTCTCAGCCCCGTCCCACCCCGTCCAGTGTTTCACATTTTCCCGGGGCCCAGGAAGCCCACTGCACCTCCTCGTTCTTCCTTCCAAGAGCCTTTTGCGTTGGTTCCACCGCCTGAAGGGACAGGTAGCCTTCACCCATGGAGTTCAGGCTGGGCTGCTGCCCAGTCCTGCTTCCCGCCTCCAAGATTGTCCTCTGGGACCAGTCCTACCTCTTGGCTGATCACAACAGGCTGCTTATAAGCCAAGTACCTACCTGCTGGCTTCACAGACACTCATCAGATGTGTGGGCAGTGGGAAAAACAGTCCTATTTTATAGCCAGGGAAATGGAGGCCCAGAGAGATGATGTGTGTTCACTCACTCCTTCATTCTCTAATTCACAACATCTCTTTCTCTCTTTTAAGAGACAGGGTCTCACTCTGTTGCCCAGGCTGGAGTGCAGTGGCGCAATCATGGCTCACTGTAGCCTTGAACTCCTGGGCTCAAGCCATCCTCCCGCTTCAGCCTCCCAAGTTAGCTAGGACTACAGGCATGTGCCACCATGCCCAGCTAATTTTTAAAATGTTTCATAGAGACAGGGTCTCACCATGTTGCCCAGGCTGGTCTCAAACTCCTGGCTTCAAGTGATCCTCCTGCCTTGGCCTCCAAAAGTGAAGGAGTTATAGGCATGAGCCACCGTGCCTGGCCTCAGGACATCTTTCTTAGCCAACCCCCCTCTCTGTCTTTGAAAGGCAGCCACCCTCTAGCAGCTGTAGCTCTTTGCTCTTTGGTGGGTTCTATCGTGTTACAGTTCCATGTTTGGAGTTAGACCTGAGTTCAAATCCTGAGTCCCTTGATTACCAGCTGGGTGATCCTGGATCAGTTTCTCTCTCTCTCTCTCTCTCAGCCTCAGTTTTTTCACTTATAAATTAGAGTTGATGACAGGATCTGCCATGAGTTGTGTGGTGAGGATTAAATCAGCGAATCCATGAAAAAGCACATAGCAGTGGGACCAGTGCTTAGTAGATCCCTTGTAAAAGAAGCATGCTGAAGATTTCCTTGCACTTAAAATAAGGCAGGGTGCATGCGAGGCCCTTGGGAAATGCTTTCTGAAATGCGATTGAATTCTGCAATCACCTCCTCCGCTCTAGCCCCCAGCCCCTTAGCAGCCAGCTTTCCCCTGTGTGTGATGAGGCCCAGAGACTGAGGCTCAAAGACATCAGCTGAGTGCCCAAGGCCACATCGCCCAGGCTGACCCTGTTCTCCCAGTCCCCTTCTCCAGAGTCCATGAATCCTCCCCTGTGATTTCCAGGCCTTTCTGCCTTTCACGTGCTGCAGACCCTTTCTATACTGATTATGGCCTTTATGATGGGACTGTCTCTTCATCTTCCATGGCTTGACTCATCAGTGTCATGGCCCATTGCCTCAGAAGCCTGTTCTCATCCAGATGGCCAGTTGGAAACCAAAGCAATAAACTCACTCACACTGAGGTGTTTGCAACTGATGATAGCTTGCTGGAGTGGAAGTTTTGGGAGCAGGATGCCTTAAGCCAGCAGAGAGTGCTCAGGGTGGGGGACATTCAGGTGCTGTGGACATAAACACAGGGAAGGGGAGGCTTTTGGTTGGGGATCTTCTTAGAGACAAGCAAGCCACAGCCTCCTCTGCTGCAAGGACCTGAGGAAAGAAAACTACTGAGTCAATTTCATAGGAGAAGTTTGTAGTTCCAACTTATTTGCACCTCCGTTGGGGCCTCTCTCTTCCTCCCTTTTCTTGTAGACAGAATGGCCAAAATTGGGTTATCTTAAAAAAAATGACAAAGCTGCATGTTAGCAGAGTTCAGAGAAATAGGGCAGGCCTGGGAGGTCACGGAGGTGAGTGTCCCAATCTTGGTGCACTCATGTCTACACTGCCCACCCACCCGCCAGCATTTCTGACAGAGCCTGGGGGTAGGAGTGGTTACCCCAACATGTCCTGTGCCCTGGATGAGGAGCCTGGGGTCCTTGCACTTTCTGCAGAACTGGTAAAACTGTCTTTCAACTCATTTTCCTCCCCTCCTTGTTCAGGGAGTGGAAGTGAGAACTGGGAGAGGATGTGGTGTTGGTGGCTGCGCTGGTGTGGGTAGAAGTGCATTTTATCCAGGTG
The DNA here is from genome assembly GCF_000001405.40 of Homo sapiens. Taxonomy (NCBI): domain Eukaryota; kingdom Metazoa; phylum Chordata; class Mammalia; order Primates; family Hominidae; genus Homo; species Homo sapiens. The sequence continues at coordinate 108,325,761 of NC_000012.12, read as the reverse complement.
TGTTTAGAGAGGCAGGATGGCAAGACGGTCAAAGCTTCTGGAATTCGGTGGCTTGGCTTCAAATTCCTTGACTTCCTTGCTTGATTGCCTCAGTTTCCTCATCTGTAAAATGGGTGTAAGGATGATGTTGCCTCATAGGGTTATCTGGGTGGGGCAGGGGGAGATGGATCTGTGGGAGGGTATGTTTTATTTCTTTTCTTGCTTTTGGTATTTGCAACAGCCAGCTATTTAAATATTTTTGGTATTTGCCACAGCCAGCTATTTACCCATTGGGGAAGTTGGAATTGGGCTGATAACAGTAGGGGTGCAAGTTGCCTTGCACCTGCCAGGAGTCTACACAGGGCTGCGCTTAGTGAGTGTACAGCCTGAGCTATTTTGTTACCAGCAACCCATATCCCCAGCCACGATGTGGATTTAGTAAGAAGCTCTGTGGCTCTGATCTTCATGCTCTCAGGTGATTGAGAGTGGACAGGGGTGAAATGAAAGAAGCCACAGTCCAAGGCAGGCCCCCAGGACAAGTTTCCAGAACGACTCATGAGGCTTGTCTGGGTGTCTTCTGGCTCCCCGAGGGGTGTGGTGTCTGGAAGCCCTCTGGAAATGCTGGGGACAACTCCAGGCTGCCTGATCCCTGTCCTCCCAGTGCACCTTCCACAGCCCTGGCTCTGCTGCCCTGTCTCGGCTGCTCCGTCTCCTTCTCCCTCCTCCTTTTCCTCTTGCCCTCTTTCTTCTGTAGCAAGTGCTCTGAACCAGCTGTGGTCTTCCAGAGGTTGAGTGCAGCAACTTTGGGCAAAACCAAGCACTTATTCCCGGTGGGAGTGTTCTCAAGGCCCTGGGTATTGACAGGGTTCTTGCTGGTTTCTTCCCTCTGGGACCTGGCTGTGGTCAGACTGGAGGCTGTGGGAGGAAGCATGCTCAGGCCACCCACCACATTGTGGGTGCTCAGTAAACACTTGCAAGGAAATGAACAAGTGAGCCCAACAGCAGAAGGGTGCACCCTCAGCCCTCAGGGAATAGGATCTCTTTCCCTTAGGGAAAACCAAACCCTCACTAAAATTATTTCAAGACCATGTGTTTTATTTTTAAACTGCATACAATTATTTTGAGGGCACATGCTTTAAAAAAATAGCTTGGGAACTTTGCATTCAGTGCCATAATAGGCCCATGCATTTAAAGATGAAAGTGGAGCCCCTTGGAAGTCTTTGGGTCGGCTCCAGGGAGAGGCGCCTCGTCTGTGCTCTGGCTTCCCGTCTGCGTGGCTTGCTTGGAGAAACTTGGGGTAGAGAACTCATGGATTTTCAGGTCTGAGGGGAGTGCTCCCACATGATAGGATCCTCTTCCCCTCACCTCTCCATTGTATATTGGAGGGAATAGGGGCACGGGGAGGTTAAGCGACTTGCCCAAGGTCACACAGCTGGTAAGCGGCAGAGCCAGGGCTTGAATCCAGGCAGCCTTCACTACAACACTTGAAAAGATGCCCCTTTGGTGAGCCCTGTTCCTATCTGCCCCCCTACATCTGTGTCTGGGCAGCCAGGCCACATTTCCTGGACAGCTGAGATGTGCTTGTTCTACAACAAGCGTGATCACATGCAGCTCCCAGAAAAAAGAGACCGGCAAGAACCCAGTCGTCACCAGGGACCCCAAGTACCTTTCCACTGGGGACAGGTAAATGCCTGGTTTTGCCCAGAGATGTAAACTCTGGGGTCTCCCTGCTGGAGCCCTAGACCTCTGGCCTGGGCTGGGTCTCTGACAGGGAGGGGACCTGCCAGGGCTGGACTGTAGACCCCTGGTCTCTCTGGAGCTGGAAGTAGTCCTCTGTGCCTCTTATCAGAGGTCCTTGGCTGTGGGGCCAGCCTATTCCTCCAGGTGGCTTAGCTGTTGCCAGTTCCCTTCCCTTGGCCCCTGTGCCACTGTCTGTGTGGCAGTCTGGAGTTGGCAATGATCAAAGAACTCATTTCCAGAAGAGGAAACTGAGGCGCTAGATTGGATATCAGAGAAAGAGGACTGGCATCCAGTCCTGTTTCTCCAGCCAAGCTTGTTTGTGAGCTCAGGCAGGGACTGCACCCCAAGTCCTACACATTGGACCAGATGGCAACTTCCAGCTCAGTGTCATCTGAAGATTTGCAGCCTTGTGGTTCAGAGAGGGGCAGAAACTTGTGCAGGTTCATGGAACATTTGGAGCAGAGTCAGGACTAAAACCCAGCCTTCCTGTCTCCACTGCACCTTGTTCATTCCTCAGGTTCCCTCAGGGAAACATTTGAGGGCTAGGGTTTGAATGGAGAAGGCAAGCTGTCCTTTGGGTCTTAGTTTCCCCCAATGTCAAACAGAAGGGTTGACAACCCCAGCCCACCGGAGCCTGTGTCCACATTTTTACCAGTCTGCAGATAAGCCACAAAAATAAATAAATAAATAAATAAATAAAATAAAAAAGGGAAAATCACAGATAGCAAGGTAAGCATTTCATAAAGTGAAACATTTTCAACTGAAAAAGATGAGTCTATGTCTCACCTATTTTCGTGGGTATTAATGTGTTGTTTCTTTTCTGAAGTGGTGGTGATGGTAAAGGATGGTTTTAGTTTTGCAGTGTCCTTACTTGGCAAATGTAGAAAGGTGGCAACTCTATGACAGTCTCAAAAATTTGTGGGAAATGTAACCAGTTCATGAAATCCCAAGGCGTGAAGTTGACTGAACTAAGCTGGTCTCTTGGGCTTCTTTGAGCTCAGTGGGGGATTCAGGTGGGCACTGTCTGGCTGAAGGGGGAATCTGAGAGAATGAGGTATGGAGGGAAAGGTATCTGCTGCCAGATCCAAGGCTGGATTGCAGGGGGAGAATGCACCTGGCACATAGTAGGTGCCCAGCTGTGGCAATTGGATGAAATGATTACCATGTGTCTTAGTCCATTTTGTGTTGCTATAAAAGAATACCCAAGGTTGAGTAATTTACTAAGAAAAGAGGTTTATTTTGCTCATGGTTCTGCAGGCTGCACAAACAGCATGGAATCAGCATCTGCTTCTGGTGATGGCTTCAGGGAGCATCCATTCATGGTAGAAGGGGAAGGGGAGCCAGCATCACATGAGGAGAGGAGGGAGAGAGGGAAGGAAGGTGCCAGGCTCTTTTAAACAATCAGTTCTTGTGGGAACTAACAGAGTAAGCCCAGGGCTAGGGGAACCTGTTGGCATAGTATCAACTCCAGCTGCCAAGTCAGGGAAGGCTGCCTGGACACAGTGAAATTTGAAGGACAAGCAGGAGTTGGCCAGTGGGCACCCCAGGCTGAAGTAACTGCAGAGGCACAAAAGCATTGCACTTTCACACGATACAGCTGGAGAAGAAAGTTGTGAACTGAGTTGGGATTTAAAGCTGTGATGGTGGAAACTCAGGCACTGTGTGGAGCAGAGGTAGAGTTTCAGCCGGAACATATGGACCCCAGTGTCTCCCTAAAATCCCAAAGGGGTGGCATGACTAGGGGACGAAGCCCTGAGCTTCCCTCCCCAAGCCCTGGGAGGTATGCACCAGGTAAGGGGTGCTTTCTCCTGAGCTCCAGCAGGAGTTCCAACCCGTTCCAGGGATCCGGGACTCAGAATTAACATCCTAGCCCTCAGACTGTTACCACTTCTCCCTCCACATTTAGAAAGAGCCAAAAGTGCCAGCCCACCTCCCAAGCCCCTCATGTAACATATACCTGATTACCCAAAAGCAAAGATTTATCCTTTCTCCCCTCCCTTCTTCTACCTTCCCCTCAACCTCTTCCTTTTAAACAATCAATTCTTGTGGGAACTAATAGACAACTCACCCATTACTTGGAGGACAGCACCAAGACAGTCAGGAGGGATCCACCCCTATGACCCAGACACTGCCCTTAGGCCCTACCTCCAACACTGGAGATCAGATTTCAACATGAGATTTGGAGGGGACAGATATTCAAACTGTATCACCATATGTGCTCAATTCCTAGTTCAGTCAGGGCAGTGAGCAGAGAGAGAGCCTTGGCTGGAAGGGGGCTGTGTGGGGAGGAGCTAGGGAAGGGCATCAGGGTGTCTTAGATCTGGGAATACAGAGGAGAGGAATGAGTCAAAGTACATTCTAAGAACCCCTGCAGTGGGTTCTGATCTGGATCCCTGTCTCAGATTGGGTTTCCCTGAAGCAGAGCCTGAGACAGGGATTTGGGTGCACGTTCTGTGTTAGGGTGTGCTCTCCAGCAGAGTCAGAGTTAGGGGGTGGTGAGTGACGCAGACGCGTGAAAGTGCAGGATGGGATCCCATCTTTATTTTGATGTTTTGCTCATCATGCAATATTTTGCGTTAATTTTTATTATTTATTTATTATTATTTTTTTGGAGACAGGGTCTCACTCTGTCACCCAGGCTGGAGTACAGTGGTATGATCGTAGCTCACTGCAGCCTTGACCTTCTGGGCTCAATTGATCTGCCCGCCTTAGCCTCCTGCATAGCTGTAAATTTGATTTTGAAAAAATGTTGCATTACATTATTATTTTTTGTATGAGTGAGGTTTTTGGCAACCCTCCTCCCTAAGTTTGCACTCAAGGCAAGTGCCTCACTTGCCTCCTCCAGTCCAAGCTGTGCTCTCAGGAGAATGGGAATCAGGGAAGGGGTTATTGAGGATATGGCCTCAGGTGAGACTAGCTTCAGTCTGATCCCACGGGGACCCCTGGAGTGAGCATTGTGCTCTGCGGCAGCCAGGGAGAGGCTGCTCCTGCTCTGCTGAGGGCAATTCTTAGGAGGAGAGGGCAGCTGTGAGCTGTTAGCATCTAATATTCCCTGCAGCTGGCAGATGGGGGACCCTGCTAGTGAAGAGGACCCAGACTAGGCACCAAAAACATCCACCACAATACCATCCTGTTGTTCTTTGAGAAGTGGCAGTAAAAATTTCACAGGTTTACAAGCACTTTTGGCTGCTGGACTGTGTTTCTTTGAATATGGCTGTGCTGGAGTTTCTGGGGTCCAGTTTCTATTCCTCTTGTAGAACGAATGAATGAGCAGGAGGGTGGGTGGAGCCAGTGTGGATGTGGGTGTGACCTGAGGACCTGGTTGGTCCTAAGCTGCTGGCTCAGTTTCCTGGAGGGTGGGAGCTGGGGAGAGGAAGGCCAAAGTGGAACAGGTGTCTGTGATTCTGCCCACGGAAGGAGACATGGAGGAGGAAGAGGCTGAGGGGAAGATGGAAGAAGGAGGGAAGGAAGGAGAAATCTTTGCTTTTGGGTAATCAGGTATATGCTATATGAAGGGCTTAGGAGGTGGACTGGCACTTTTGGCTCTTTCTAAATGTGGGGGAGAGGTATTCACAGTCTGAGGGCTGGGATGTTAATTCTGAGTCCCGGATCCCTGGAGTGGGTTGGGATTTCTGCTGGCACTCAGGAGAAAGCACCCCTTACCTGGCGCATACCTCCCAGGGCTTGGGGAGGGAAGCTCAGGGCTTCGTCCCCTAGTCATGCCACCCCTTTGGGATTTTAGAGACACTGGGGTCCATATGTTCTGGCTGAAACTCTACCTCTACTCCACACAGTGCCTGAGTTTCCACCATCACAGCTTTAAATCCCAACTCAGTTCACAACCTTCTTCTCCAGCTGTATCATGTGAAAGTGCAATGCTTTTGTGCCTCTGCAGTTACTTCAGCCTGGGGTGCCCACTGGCCAACTCCTGCTTGTCCTTCAAATTTCACTGTGTCCAGGCAGCCTTCCCTGACTTGGCAGCTGGAATGGATACTATGCCGACAGGTCCCCCAGCCCTGGGCTTACTCTGTCATGATTTACTCATCGTCTGTTGCTCTTACCTGGCTTTGGGTTTCTTGGGAGTGGGAACTATATCTTTGTATTCTATCTCCCAGCCTGACACCTGGCAGGTAATATGTGCTCAGTAAGGTTTATTGAATGTAAGAATGAGAAATGTGTAATATGTCATCAGATATTTATACCTCAGTGTGAAAGAAATTCTGAGAGGAGGTTTTTGTTTTGTTTTGTTTTTAAACCATACTCCCTTACAATCATGCCACATTTATGTGTGAGGCCAAGTCATATAATGGTAAGATTCATAATTATACTCAACAACAACAACAACAATAATAACAATGGATAATATACTGAGAACATACCATGGGCCAGGTATTATTATTCTAGCTGTTTATATTCCTTCTCTTATATCCTAATACTAACTTTATAAGGTATATATTATTTATGAGGTATGTACTTTGTGAGGCATGTATTGCTCCATTTTACAGATTGGGAAACTGAGGAAAGAATTTAAGCAACAAAGAGGTCTTACAGGTAGTAAGTGACAGAGCTGGCTCTGAACTCAGGTGGTCTGGCTTCAGAACCTGTACCCTTAACCATCACACATTGAACATGGCTTTTGGGTTGAAGTCCTAGCTCCTCCATTTTCTAGCTGTGTGATCTTGGGCAAGTTGCTTGACCTCTCTGACTTTCAGTTTACTCACCTGTGAGGTAGGGGTGGTCCTCAATGTTGTTGGGAGGCTGGGGCAAAGTAAGGGATGGAAAGGACCCTGAGGGTTGACAGGGATGGTTCTCATGGCTCAGCGAGGCAGCGGTTTCAAAGATCTCTGCTCATGGTTACAAAATGAGCCTTGGAAACCTGCATCAGCAGAGACGTCATGGCCAGGGTTCTTGGCAAAGGGCATGGAGGCCAGGAAGAGGGAGACAAAGGCTCCTTGTCAGCACCTTGGGGCCCTAGGGGAGGCAAGTTGGGAAGATGTGAGTGCTACAAAGAGGGAGATGAGGACTCTTGCCTGGAAGTGAGGCAGGCACCCTGTTGTCCACCAGGATTTGCTCTGCATAAGGCATGGGTGGAAAATTCCTTTGGATCCTTTCCTGAGTGGCTGGGAAAGCTGAGACTAATTCGTGGAGGGGAGGGGTGTCTCCACACCTTGGGAATGTGATCACTATTTTATTTTAAAACAGAATAAAAAGCAGCTTCAACTTGGCAGTTCTCAGGGCTGCTTGGGGCCACCAAAGGCACCTCCAGAACATGGCTCCTTGTGGGCTTGGGCTCTGGCTGCTATGGGATCAGGGACCACACTGGAAACCTGCCATTGGCAGGTGGCTGCTCTGTTTTCTGCAGAGACTCCCTCCTCCAGCCTGACTGGCATCTTCTCTGGGAACCCACAGAGAACAGATCTGCCCTCTGGGGTGACGAGGAGGCCTCAGGCAGAAATCTCCCTCACACTGTGGATACTGTCATATATCCACAGAATTCTCTCCTGATAGCTGATCCCCACAGTGACCCTGCAAACAATTGTCATTTCCCTTTGATAAACGTGGAAACTGAGGACAGGGAGTTGGAACAGCCAGTACAGCTAGAATAAGAACCAAGGTTCTCTGACTTCCCATGAGACAGACTTTGTACTAAAGACATGGCCCAGGTTCTATGGGGACTGAAGGTCTAAGTGGCTCTGAAGGATATTCTTGATGGATCAAAACACAGCACAGTCAGTGCAAAGGGAGTGCTTAAAGCCCATTTGCTCATTATAAAAGACCAGGGCTTGAGAACTCCAGACTCTATTAAGAATATGTGGAAAATGATACACATATGTAGTTAATTGTAACATTGTAACACACACAATGATTTATTATAACATTGTAACAGCAAGAAACCGGAAGCAACTCAAGTGCCCATCCCTGGGACTAGTTAATTAAATGCTGGCAAATCTACCAATGGAATACTATGCAGCTATCAAAAAGGATAAGATGCTTTGTACATATGAATATACTAATAAGAAATCATCACCAAGAGATATTGTTAGGCAAGAAAGGCCAGTTGCAAAATAATGTGTTTAGTATACTTCCGTTTATGCAAAATGAGAGAAATGAAATGAAAAGAGAATGTATTTCTCCAAAGAAACTCTGGAAGGAGACATGAGGAACTAACATAGGGAGGTGGGTACAGTGGAAACTGGATGGATGGTGGCAGGTAGGAGCAAGATTTTTCATTCTAATCTTTCTATAGTTTTAGATGGTTTGAACATCACCAGTTAGAAGGAGTTGTGATGCCTGGTCAGCAATTTAAATTCAAAAAGCCTATTAGAATTGTGGATGGATGGCTGTTAGGCTAACAGTGTTATTATGTGAATAGTATGTGTGTTGTAAATTCTAAGGCCCGTGGTTTTCATTCCTATTTTCTCCTTGATTGTGACATAAGCACATTTGGAGTTTTCAAACTAGCTGGATTTATTGCCCAGCTGACTACGGCTTTCCTTGATGTCAGAATGAGGCCACCTTTGGCCCACTTTGAACCAGCTGAGAGAGTCCTGTGGGGTTTACACAGAGCCCACCCCTCCCTCCAGTGTCCACATCATCCTCATGACCGTGATGCACTCCTGGTGGCCTCCTGAGGCCATGGGTAGTCAATACCTATGTCTCATAGTGGACCTGCCATTTCATTCCAAGCTCTTGGTGAAATGTTTGTAGGGAAAACAATGCGTTCTTGTGGGCTCTCCTTGACACTAATAACCATGGATGAAGAGAACCTCTAGAGCACATAATGACTGAAACCCATGCTCAATGAAGAGAACTGCTTGGGATGGCTTTCAGCTCATCTTGTGTCTGCCAGGACCTTCCCAAACACTGCCTCCAGCCCACCACCAAACAGGCTGTGTGTTAAATCACACCTTTTCCTGTTAAAATCAACCAATGACATTGAGGCTGGGTACAGTGGCTCATGCCTGTATTCCCAGCCCTTTGGAAGGCTGAGGTGGGTGGATCACTTGAGTCCAGGAGTTGGAGACCAGCTTGGCCAACATGGCGAAACCCCATCTCTACAAAATACAAAAAAAATTAGTGGGGTGTGGTGGTGTATGCCTGTAGTAGTCCTAGCTACTCAGGAGGCTGAAGTGGGAGGATCACTTGAGCCCAGGGAGGTTGAGGCTGCAGTGAGCTGTGATTGAGCTCCCACTGGCGGTTCCAACCGGTGCCTGTGGCTTTCCATCCCAAAGCAAAAGCCCCACCCATTTCTGCTATGGGGTTGACACCTTGCCCGTAGCTCCCTGATCTTTGGGGATTTTGGAAATCCCCAGCACTGCCTTTCCTGTGCTTTTAAATGTATGCAAATGCAATAGCAAATGGCCCTCACCCCAGGAGGACAGCTATTCATGGGGCCCCTCCCTGCCCACACCGGGTGGCTCCATGGGGTCTTGTTAAACCTTCTCAGAGGTTGGCAGAAGACTCCTTTTAGCCTTGTCCCTTTCTTCTTGCCTCTGGGTCTCTCTTCCTGGGGACTTTCTTCACCCTGCCTTCGTCTTTCTTCTGCCACTTTGCTGCTTTGCCCTGACCGCTCTGTCCTCCTTTTTCCAGTCCCTGTGCGTCTCTCCTCTTCCTGCTGGCTTTCCTCTCCCTGCCCCTCTTCCCCCTCTCTTTCTGTCTACGTTGAGGAGGTGTCATCCTCTGTTCTCTCTGCTCTTTCTTGGCTGTGCTGCTTCTTCCTCCCTCCTAAGATCACCTATCCCGCCGAGCCCCTGCCCTGCTGGGGCCTGAAGTGAAGAGGGCTCTTCCCTCAAATTCCCTAGAGCTGAGGGGCAGGGCCAGCATCTCAGGCTGGCGACCAGTGCAGCCACACAGGGCTCAGAAGGCCTGTGCTTTGTTTAACACTTGGCAGTTGCTGTCCTGAATTCTCAGTAATTTTTGAATAAGGGGCTGCATTTTCATTTTGCAGTGACTCCATGAAGTATGCACTGTTTCTGCTGAGGATTATGAACTTCCTGGGGGGAACACATCCCCTCCTCTTAGAGCTGTAAGAGCTGGGCTGAGGCGCAGGGTCCAAGTGCTGGTCCTGCGTCTGCTCCTCACTCACCCAACAGTAAGCAGCAAGATTCATCTTCATTTTACCAATGAGATAAATCAAGGCTCAGAGAGGCCATGTCACTTGCCCAGGGACCCACAGCTCATGAGCCCGGATTGAAGGAAGCTGACTCTGAAATTTGGACATTCTGTGGTCCTTTCCTGGCTGAAACCATAGGGGCTTTGGTAAGCCACCCTTTTATCAGTGAACTAAGGCTCAGTCTTTGCATCTGGAAAATAGAGGTAGTGAAAGTAGCCATCTGTGCAGAACCAGCTGGTGTTTAAATCCTGGAAAGTTCCTGGCACATGGCTACCTCCTGAAACAGCAGCCACAGCCTTTCTGAGCCTCCATTTTCTCATCTGTCAAATGGGGATCATGGTGGTACCTGCCTCACAGGACCCTTATGGGAATTTAATGACACAGGACGTGTGCTTAGCTTAGGGCCTGGCACAAGTAGGTGGGCAAGGCTAGTACACAGGAGCTTCTAGGCCAGAGGAGGGAGTAATCTATGAGTAGGGAAACTGTAGGATTTATTGTCCTGACTGGGGCACTTTGAGAATGAAAGGAACATGACAAGAAGCATAAACAGGGATTGTTGTGGGCAAGCCAGGATGGAGGGTCACTCTACCTGTGTATCAAGTATGTCTTTGTCATGATTGTCTGTTTCATAAAATATGTTCACAGATAGGTGAGTATAAGGATGCCCCAGGCCCACCCCCAGCTGGTGTGGAGAAAGACTGTGTTTGGGCTGGGTGCAGTGGCTCACACCTGTAATCCCAGCACTTTGGGAGGCCGAGGCAGGTGGATCACCTGAGACCAGCCTGACCAACATGGAGAAACCCCATCACTGCTAAAAATACAAAATCAGCCAGGTGTGGTGGCGCATGCCTGTAATCTCAGCTACTTGGGAGGCTGAAGCAGGAGAATCGATTGAACCTGGGAGGTGGATATTGCGGTGAGCTGAGATTGCGCCATTGCACTCCAGCCTGGGCAACAAGAGCAAAACTCCGTCTCAAAAAAAAAAAAAAAAAAAACAAGGCTGTGTTCGAGCCTGGGCCATAGAGAATGATGTCCCTCGGGCTGGGCATGATGGAACATGATGGTAAGCCCAGCACTTTGGGAAGCAAAGTGGGAGGATAGCTTGAGGCCAGAAATTCAAGACCAGCTTGGGCAATATAGCAAGACCTCATCTCCAAAAATTAAAATAATAAAATTTTAAAAAGGGAGGGGGAAAAAAGAAAGAGTAGTGTCCCACTTATCACTGCTACTGCTACCAAAGCTTCAGTTCTGAAAAAACATCAGGGAGAATGACTTAAAGGCCACGGTTCAGGCCCCTTCTCAGATATTCTAGAAAATTCTTTGGATTACACCAGCAGTGCATACACCTGGATGTGTAGACTGAAACTCACAGTCATATCTAGGAAAAGCAGCTTTTACTGAATTGCAGTTTGGGGCAGTGCTGTCCATCAGTGAGTGTTTGGAGCCTCCCTTAAAACATTCAGGAACTGGAGACCCCGTTCCGTGATCAGATCCCCCATGTCTTCTCTCCACAGGCTTCTGGAGACAGTCCTTCTGCTCCTAGCATCAGGAAGCCTTACTATTCCCCTGAGTGGGTTTGGTTTTTAGCAAGGAGCATGTGACTCATGTAACTGGGTCCCCCTTTCAGGAAGCTGGGGTTCCAGTGTATGGTCCAGCCACTGTCAGTGTCTAGGAACTTCTGTGTCCCCTGCATTTCACCCTTAGCCGTGACTCCATTTTCTGTCTCTACACATGTTTCCCTTCCTTCTTTTACTTTAATTTATGTTCCCTGTATAAGTGAGCCTCTTTTGAACCTCCCACCATCCACAGCTGCATCACGCCAATAATTAAGTGAACAAAAATAAAAAATCGACAAACCTGCAAGCAAAACCATATTGTGGCACCCCTCCCCAACCCAGGAGAGCAGCTCAGTTGGCCTGGTGGGGGTCGGCTGGCAAAGGGTTAAGAATGATGCAGAGGAAGTGCTGGCGGAGATTAAAGGGAGGAAGTGGCTGCTGCCTGGGGAGGGAGGTGGCTGGCTTGTCCTGTGTGACTCCAGGGGCCTAAACCAACACTGACACGAATGTGGCAGTTTGCTCAAGGTCAGTGTAGTGAAAAAAAGGAAGAGCTTTCCAATGACTTGACAAGTCTTTCTAGAAGTTCTACTGGTGGGGGTTTCAAACTCACTGATAGCTGACTCCAGACATAGCTCTCTTTAAACATAACAGCCAAAGGGCATGTTTGTTTGAGCCAGTCTCTTCATGTTCATAGAGTGACCAGCGGGCCCTGATTGGCTGGGACATTCCAGTTTGAGCACTTTACATTCTGCATCCCAGGACACCCCTTGGTTTCTGGCAAACCAGGACAACTGGTCACCCTATGCACCCTACGTATATGATCTCATGAAATCTTTACATTGACCCCCTTTACAGACGAGGAGTCTGTGATTTAGTAATCCAAGATTACATAGCATGGGAAGGGCCAAGCTGGGATTCACATGTGGATTTGCTGTAACTGAGTGAGGCTTAAGCTGTCAGCTGCACTGAGCCACTTCCCTTTTCCTGTAAGATGAGGGTGTGAGACCCCTTGATCCTAAAGCCTCTCTAGCAATGACTTTTAGGATTCTAGAATTTCCTCTGGTCTTCGAGCAGCTTTTTGTTTTCCATGGAAGGTGGGGTGGGGTAGGGTGGGGGGCAATTTTTCCAGCAAGACCCCTCCTAGGTCAAGGCTTGGGCTTTGCCTTGGGAGAGGTGACAGCCTGGTGACAGGGTCAAAAGGAAGGGCAGCCTGCCCCTCCTTCCCTGTGCCTGGGAACAGGGTGGGATCTCATACTCCACCGTCCTGATTGCTGGCAGTGGTGCCAGTCCATTTGTCAGCTGCTTGGGCTGGAGCCAGGGAATTCCAAGGGGCCAGAGCCTGCCTGAGCACTCCAAGGCCTCTGTGCTCGTGGCTGGCAGCCTAGGCAGGAGGACCCTGGGGCAGCTCAGGGCTCTGGGATTTTTCAAAGCTCCATGTGGCTGGACAGGCCTCTACAGACTCCCTGCCCTGGGAGTCTGGCCAGCCTGTGGAGACTGTGCAGAGGGGGGTGATTTGGAGTCTCTAAGTACCCCAAGTCAGTGAGGTAGCATTGTGAATGTGCAAGGTGCGGAAGTTGCACAGGTGGGGACAACTGATATGAGATCACAGGGCCCCGTGTGCAGCAGGCAAGCCACAGAACATAAAGGACAGTGACCGTCACTGAAGACCTGGACTCCAGAGTCAGGCAGTGCAGATTCAGATCTCTCCTCTGCCCCTTCCTACTGTGAGATCTTGGGCCAGTGCCCTTGCTTCTCTATGGCTTGATTTCCACATCTGAAAAATGGGAATGAAAATATCTACCTCGAAGGTTTGTTGTGAGTGGAGGCACTGAGTATGCCGTCTGTGCCTAATAAGCAGGGGGTGGATTCCATGAGCCCCAGACTCTCAGTTTTGGTTCCTCTCACCCCATAGCTGCACCCCAGGACCCTGTGACAGGCAGTGGGTGAGGGCTCTTCCCCATGGAGAAGCCGTGCTGGTAGGCTGTAAGGGAAGTCCTAGGGAGAGGAAGGAATGCTGCCTGGACACGTTTCACAGTCTTGTGATGAAAGGGGCCTGTCAGCCCATCCACGATGCTTGGAAATGCTGTGATAAGGGCATAGATGCTTTGAGTTCTCACAGATCTGAGTTCAAGTCCTGGTTCCACTGGGCACTGGCTGGCGATCCTGATCTGGTTCCTTTTACAGCCTCAGTTTCAACATCTGTGAAATGGAGGTAATGTCCTCAGGCCAGGGGGAAGATGGATTGTCAGGACACAAGGAGATGAGGGGGTGTCAAGCTCACAGCTAGGTGCCTGGCACGTAACAGGATGGGTCTCTTTCCTCTTGTCACCTTGCTGTTTGCTCTGCCTGGATTTGTGCACATGAGGCTGGGAGAAGCAAGGGGATGCTTGTGGAAAGCACACCCCAGGCAGAGGGACCTGCAAGAGCAGAGGCCCAGGTGCTTTGAACCATGCTCGGGGTACTGGGCTCCTTAAGCACAGGGAGCAGGTTGGTTTGGAAGGACTTGGCCTCTGAGGTCCCCCCAGCAGTCCTTCCGTGCCCCCAGCCTGGGGCTTCCCATGAGTCCTGCAGCCCTGTCCTGGGTCAGGGGTCGCTGACTTCACTTGGGTTGTCCAAGGGGAAGGGAGGCTAATGCCCATGCTCAGTGGCCCACCCTTCCTCCTGTTGCCTCTTGCCTCCACCAGCTCTCCCCCTCTATGCTGCCTTTTCCCCTTAGCGTCCTTTCCCTGGCACTTTTTTTCTTTTTAGGAGGCAAAGTCTTGCTCTGTCACCCAGGCTGGAGCGCAGTGGTGCAATCATAGCTCACTGCAGCCTCGACTTCCTGGGCTCAAGCGAGCCTCCCACCTTAGCCTCCTGAGTAGCTGGGACTAAAAGGTGTGTGTCACCACACTTGGCTAAATTTTTAAATTAAAATTTTTTCCCCTAGAGGCAGGGTCTCTCTATGATGCCCAAGCTGGTGTTGTACTCCTGGCTATAAGTGACCCTCCCGCCTCAGCCTCCCAAAGTGCTGGGATTACAGGCATGAGCCACTGTGCCCAGTCTCCCTAGCACTTTTAAGTGTTAATATCTCACACGCACACATACACACATTCATGTCAACCACTAACTGGATCTGACATAGTAGGAATGGTTTTGGCATCTGAGCCCCAGTCCTGACGCCATTTTGCTGTATAACTGTGGCCAAAAACCTCCTTTGTGTGTGGGCCTCTGCTTCTCCATCGTCATCACGACATTGACTTCAGTTCACTGGGGAAAAGTTGAAAGCAGGACCCTGATGGTGGAATTGAAGGCATAGCAGCAGTGTGTATCTGGCATCAATTTGCAGTGGGGGATGCCTTTCCAGAACCCCAGCACCAGACCCCAGAGACTGCTGACTGCTCCTTCATCTGCACCCTGCTCATCTCCTGGGCGGGGGGTGGGGGGGCGGTCTTCGAACTTACCTGCCTCACACACGTGTCCTGGGATGTGCCTCCCTGGTGAGCTGCAGGTTCTGGCTGCCCCTCAGCACTGCCTCCCTCCTGTCTCTGCCTACCCGCCTTGCTGAAAGGCCCTGGGTCCATGAGGCCCGGGGATGGGGGACTCGGTGTTACCATGGCAACCATAGCTTATCTGTGGCATCATGGACTCCGGGGGAAGATGGCTCCCAGCCCCCAGGACTGGACAGTATGGGCCCTTCTCTGTGACCTGGCTTTTCCCGTGAAGACCCATCTGAGTATCTCTGGTCCTCACTCCTCCGCTCACTCAAGACCTTTCTTGGAGCATTGGTGGTTGCCATGGAAATGGCTCTGGAAGCAAACCAGTCCCTGTGGGCTGAGGAAAAATCCTTAAGAAAAATAAAGAGATTGCTTGGCTTCCTGGCTCTCTGATGGGACATCCTGATGCCTGGAGCCTCCAAAAACTGCACTTTCTGGGTAGGCCTGGAACTGGCAGAAGGATCCTCAGTTCACCAGGCCTCTTGCTATTCTCCTGCCTCCAGCCTTTCCTCTTCCAACGCAGTGCCCACATCAGCCACCCAGGTTAGAAGCTGGAATCTTTTTAGAAGGATGATACCCTCTGCTTAAAACCATCCATGGCTCCCTATTGCCCATAGGATAAAGTTGATGGCTTGCAGGGATCTCACAATCTGAAACCCTCTTCTTTCCTTAGCCACATCTCCTGCCTTCTCCCCTCCCCTAACACACACACACACACACACACACACACACACACAGCCCCTAACCACACTTTTTCAAGCCTCTGTTCCTCTGCAGGTATGTCATTTCCCTCGGCTGCTCCACCTGGCAAAGGCTTCATACCCTCCAAGGCTCAGCTCAAATGCCACCTCCTCCAGGAAGCATCCCCTGATTTCCCCAGCCCTTTCTCTTTACTTTGTGCAGAGCCAGGGCCACACACTCAGTGACCAACAGGGCCAGGCAGGAGACCCAAATGACCCATTTATGAACATTTTTCATGTCCACAAAGACATACGTGCTCTCCTATGAAAGCTGAAAATGAGAATGACTTGGTTCCTCTTTCTCTCACTGGATTGCACTTATTTCTGCCACAGCAGAGACCCTGGACAAACTCAATGGCAAATTGCAACTGGCTTATTACCCCAGGGAACAATAGGGAGGGGTGGGGACTGTGGATAACCCCTGTTCTGTAATGCAAGCCCAGCATGGCCAGTTTGCTGGAAGCCTGGAATTTAGGTGACATCTCAGAATACTGACTGTGCCACGATCTGTTCCTGCAACCACTTTCTCTGCATGAAGGTAGTGACTGGGCCATCTTACTCCCACAGCATTTGGCAAGGAGTGTGACCCTTAGACGTTGCCCACTACTGGCTTTTTTTTTTTTTGGAGATGGAGGTCTCACCCTGTCACCCAGGTTGGAGTGTAGTGGTGCAATCATAGCTCACTGCAGCCCTAAGCTGCTGGGCTCAAGCGATCCTCCTGCCTTTGCATCTGCTGTTCCCACTGCCTACCATGCTCTTCCACAGCACCAGCCCATGTCTCCCTCTCTGTGTATTCAGGTCTCCATTCAAAGGTGGAACAGGGCATAAATGCTGGGGGAGGGGAATTCTATGTTAGGGAGAGCGTTCCAAGAAGCTTCTCTGAGAAGATGACCCTCTTTGTATTTTATTCACAGCACAAATCACTGCCTGCTATTATATTCATTGTATTTTTTCAGCATTTACATAGAGCTTCCGATGAACCAGGCATGCTTCTAAAACATTACCAACATAAACCCATTACCAACATTCAATCCTTGCAACAACTCTGTGAGGGAGGAGCAATGATCACTCCTATTTTCCAGATGAGGGAACTGAGGCACAGAGAAGTGTGATGACTTGCCCATGGTCACACAGCAGAGCTGGGATTCAAACCGAGGCAGTCTGGCTCCAGATGTGTTTGTCTTCCTTATTATGTATTTGTTTACTTGACTGTTTAGCATCTGTCACCCCCGACTACCCCTCGACTCCAAGGGCAGGGATGTGTCTGGTTTGTTCCCTGCTGCAACCCCAGTACTCAGATCCAGGCCTGGCTCATAATAGGTATTTAATGACTATTTCTTGGAAGGATGGAGGAAGGGAAACAGGAGGATTAGAGGACTGGAAGGAAGAATCTTTGGCCTTCAGAGCTGAGCCCAATATCAAGATTGTCTTGTCGGAAGCTTCTCAGCCTCCTGAGGGATTTGAGTCAGCCTGTCTGGAGGGGCCCCTGCCTTGCCCGTCCTCACCCTCTAATAGAACCTCTATTTTCTGACCTCTCCCAAGAAGAGGTGCCAAACCTCATTCCCAGCTCCCTGGACCCATGCTGAGCACACTTCCTACAGTGATGGGAGCCCTGGAGGGGAACAGTCAAGGCGAGGGCAGGAAGTCTCCAGAAGGAGGTGGCCTGCAGGGAACAGGCTGTTGAGCGGCCAGCGAGAGGTCCGGGCGGGGCTACCCTGGACCAGATGTGCTCAGGGGATGAGCAGAAGAGAGAGCTGGGAAGGGGCTTGTGTCCTGAGAAATTCTCCTGGGACCCTAAAACAGTGGACTTCACTGAGGGAGCAGTAGAAACACATTTCAGTTTCACCCTGTGAAAGAAATCCCCTTTCCCTATTAATGCAGTGGCTGTGGTGGTGACAAGCACCTCACCAGCCTTGTTTCATTGAATCCTCACAACTCCTTGAGACAGATGCTACAGATGAGGCTCCTGAGGCTCAGAGAGGTAAGTAACCTCTATGAGGTCACACAGCCAGGAAGTGCTAGAGCTAGAAGTGAAACCTACTTCCAGATGATATGTGACAGGATTCCATGGAAAACCAAGGGAGGAGAAGCTGGAAGCCCAGCCTGGAGCTCCTGATTCTACCCACGTGCTCACTCGGTCACTTCACTGAATCTGAATCTCAGTTTTCTCATCTGTGAAATGAGAATAATGGGCAACTGGCATTGTTTGTGACCTGATGAAGGGCTGGCTGTTTTTCTAGGTGTGCCACAGAGGTTATTCTCCTTCACCATCATGGTATGTTGGGTGGTCCACATGCCCCAGAAGTGGAAAAAGAGACTTGGAGGTGTGGAGAGCAGATCCAGGTCACCCAGCCAGGACCACCTCCTTGTTAGGTGTTAATGCCCTGTCCCGACTGAGGCCAGACAATAGCTTGGTTTCAGCTGAGGGACTTGAATAAAGTGAAACACGCTTTGCAGAGCCTCTTGCAGAGGATGTAGGGATGCTGGGGAGGTGGGAGGCTGAGCTGAAGCTGGGAATGGCAGAAGCCATGGCTTCCTTATCCAGCTCACCAGAGCAACAGAAAGGAAGGAGCGAGGCATGGGACTCAAACACAAGGGCTCCAGAGCGGATGAGTCTGGGTTCTCCACCTCCTTGCCCTTCTCCCCACCCGCTGGCAGATTGGGACCCTGTGGCTGGGTAAGTTTCTTGAGTTGCCACTTTTCAGGTATCTCAGGGTGCCAGAGAAGAGAAGCAAGGGCAGAGGGTGAGCTGTGCTGACCTGGTTGTAAGAGAAGAGTGACTTCTCAGGGGGCGCTTCTGGAGGCATGTGGGGCCTCCGCTGCCTCCCAGAGTCGAGATTCCAAGCCCACACCCAGAACAGCACACCAAGTGCGTGCCACAGGCTGGCTCCCAGCATGGGCAGAAGTCACTCACCCCAGCTGCCTTCTTGACCACATCCTGAGCAAGCTGTAAGCATCCCCAGCACCAGCCACCCTTTGGCTACAATGTGTTCATAGCTTGGGGATTATTTGCAAGAGTGGACCCAAGGCTGACGTCAGGGGATTAACTAAATATGGTGCTGGACCTCCCAGTCCAGTGGGATATGCGCAGGGGAGAAAATTTGTTTACAGGCCAGCTCCAGGGGCTGGGGCGGTGTTTATGGGGAGAGGCACAAGCTGGATGGCTGGGAAGATACTTAGGGCTTGTGTACGGGACCCATTATTGGGGGCTACAGGGGCTTCCTGGCCTGGAAGGACAGATGTCCATCAAATGCTCTTGCTGGGGACCTTCTGTGACTAGGAATGGCTGCTGGGGAGATGGTTACAAGGGCAGCTAGGTGTCCAATAAAGTAATGAGGCTGAGTTTGCAAGGGCGTGTTCTCATGGAACTTGGTTCCGTCTGGGTCTGGGCTCGAGCCTCAGCTCAGTCCTCAGGTAGGCAGGGTCTAGATTGCTCAGGCCATAGTAAGGCATTGGTCTTGATTCTAAGAACAAGGAGGTGCTAAGAGGTTTTCAGCAAGGAGTGACATGATGTGGTTTGCTTCTTGAAAAGATTTGTCTACTAGGAATAAAATGGTCTGTGTACTAGGTAGATAGGTTTCTAACCAGTTAGGAGCCCCTGGTAGCCACATAGGTAAGCAGAGGTGATGCTCACAGCTGTGAGTTGTTGGGAGGACAAAATGGGAAGAACTTGTTGATAGATGTGTGGGTAGGGAGGGAGGGGAAAGTGTGGAGAGTCTGGTTTCTGAGTCAGAGTGTTGGCAGGAGATGGACAACCCACTCAAATGAGGTGATTAACGAGAACTTAGTCAGGGGAGGACTGACAAAAGGGTAGACAGTACAAGGGATCCCTACCACGCTCCGGGTCCAGTGAAGGCGAGAACTCACTGTTCCTAGACTGAGGGGCTAGAGCAGGAAGTAGTTAAGGCACCCAAGGAGTGTGGCTGTGGCCAACCCGCACACCTCTGACAAGGAGGGAGCTGGAGGGTTTGTACCCAACCGCACGCTCCACGCCTGCAGTTGTGGATCAAACCAGAGGTCAGAGGGCAAACAGCCTATTGAGATTTTCAAGCAGGTCAGCCTGTAGGGCACAGAACAGACAGGGATCTGGAGACAGAGATCCCCGGAGAGGAAGGAAACGCTTTTAAGGCTCAAGGAGTAGTGTTCTAATGGGAGGATGCCAGGCAGTGGCGTGAATATTTTGGGTGGGGGGGTCTCCCTGAGTCGGTGAGCTCATCAGCTGCTTTTCCTGGCCTCTAAGCAGGTGGGCTGTCTGGGTTCAGGGGCATAAGCTCCTTGTTTTTGCCCATTCTTATGGAGTCCTAAGCTCCGTCGTGGCCCCTTCCAAACCCGAAAGAAAATGGGACAGTCTGTTAGGCAGCCCGTGCCGCTCTGCTCTGCTGCAGTGACTCAGTGCGAGCTCCCACATGTGGGCGTGGGACCAGGGAGGAAATTCTCTCCTGACACGGAGCTAATTCTGTCCTGGGGCTGGCAGCCAGGCCTGTGGCTGGAACATCTGCAGACACTGTGTGGTTTCCAGGTTCCCGAGTCTGTCAGAGCCTGGGGATACAGGGATCTGGAGGTGTCTCTGGAGCCATCCTTGGGAGATGAGAGGCCCCTTCTCTCTGCCCTGGAGGGTAGGAGATCTGGTGAATGGACTGGCCCAGAAGGCAGCAGGCAAAGACATCAGCACCTACAGTCGTCCAGGCCAGGGGGAGGCTGGTATGCTGCTCAGGAGAGACATTTTTGAGGGCAAGAGTGGTGACTGGCCCGCCTCATTACATTTCAGCTGCTGGTTGAGGCTGTGATCTTGTGCTTTGGGGTCAAAAAGTCCTTGGTTCAAATCCCGAGCTGATGCTTAAAGGCTGTGTGAATCTGGACTAGTCACTTCACCTCTCTGAGTCCCTATTTGCAAATCTATGGAACGGTCTATGTGGATCACACTGAGGCAGAAGTTATGGAAGTCCCAGGCACAGTTCTAGGCTCTGGGGATACACCATAAACAAGAGAGACCAAGTCCCTCTTTTCTATGATTTAGAGAGGGTCATGCACTCTCTGGGCCTTAGTTTCCCCTGCTACAAGAGATGGTCCTCCGAGGGGCCTCCCAGCTCCTTTTGGAGGCTGACAGAATTGGAGGAGAGGTGTCTGAGCCATCTGGCTGGACTGTCAGGGTGGGTCATGTGGGGAGAAGATGGGGACAGGAGCCAGGCCAAACATGGTCATTTGCAGAGCGAGGAATGTTTCCAGTTTCCCTGATGGGCTCTTACGCCCACAGGCCCTGATAAAGCCCCTGCATTTGGCCTGTGGCCTGCTTTCAGGAAGAGGTTAGTGGTAGCCTGCGATGAAAGAGACAGCAGATTGACAGAGTGGCTGCTGGAAGCTTGGGCTGGCTAGGCGCACAGGTGAGGAATGTTGCAGGTGAGGGGCAGCCGAGCCTGTCAGAGGGGGAGGGCTGACCCGTGACCGGTGTGCAGGAGGTGGAGAAAACATGGGAAGAGAGAGGAGGAGGTGGAGACTGAGAAGACAGGGAGACTGCAGAGAGATGGAAGAGACGGAGAGGGCCAGGAACAAAGAGAGGCAAACACAGAGACTGGGGGAGAGAGAGAGGCAGAAAGAACAAGTCAGATATGAGACAGAGGAGAGTAAGAACAGGACAGAGGTGGAAGCAGGGAAAGAGACAAAGGACAGAGAGACCAGGGCAGAAAAGGAGCCAGTGCTTTGCGATGTAAAGAACCCATTGGGCAAAGGGGTTTAATCAAGGAAGCAGAAGGTAAATATCTGCTGCCCAGATGGTCCCCGGCCCTGCTGTACACTGAGCCCATAGGACACACACCGGCAGGGGAACAGCCAGAGGAGGTGAGGCCCTGGATCCATATGAACTTGGGTTTTGAATCCCAGTCCTGGTAATGGCAAGGAGAACTCACTGTCTCTAGGCTGAGGGGCAAGAGGGAGCAGTGGTTCTTGGTGCCTGGAGAGTATAGCTGTGGCCAAGTCGACCCATGGAGACCCTACAGGGAAGGAGCTGGAGGGTAAACACCCAACCTTGCTGTCCTCCAGCCCTGCAATCCCTGCTTAACACTGTCATCGATCAACCAACCAGGCAGGTGTGAGGCAAGCTACTTGCTCCCCTGCCTCAGCTTCAGACATCCCCGTTGGTAAAGTGGGACTGATACCAGTGACCTTGCAGGGTTAGGGGGAGGCTGCAGAGAGAAAAGGTGTGCTCTCACCCACGGTGTGCTGCATCCCAGCAGCCACACCAGCTCTGGGGCGCAGAAGGCTCCACATGTCCTTGGAGGATGGATGAATAAATGAATGATCCCCGCCTCCAAAGGCTTCTCCTGTAACCGAGATTGGAGGCATTTCACATTCAGGCTATTAACCAGAGGCAGAGGGACCTGGGGGAGAAAATTGCAGGGGACCCGGAGCCCTGCCTTGCTCCGTCTGTAAAATGCACACCCTGAATCTTGCCAGATTGATTTTCTGGGGGCCCTTGGGAGGTTCCACTGGGGCAAAAGCCAGAGTTTTGTGGAATGTTCCAAGGAGGCGAAGCAGTGGACAGAGAGTGAGCTTGTCAATTCAGCAGGGTTTGGGCTTGAAGCCTGTCTCTGAGCATTCCTTCAGAATGGCTAATTGGACCTACCTTACTTACCTGAGCTCTCTGTGTGACCTTGGGCACGTTAGTTACCTTCTCTGTGCCTGTTTTCTCATTAGTAGCAGTGCTTACAACAGTGGCTGGACTGTAGTGAGGACTGTACGTGTATTTGTTTAATAAAACTTAAGCCAATAATGTCCATTGGAGGCTTTTGTTCTGCATGGCAGGAGAAGCCAGATGTGACCTTGAGGCCCTGTCCCTTTCCCAGCAAGGGTCCGGCAGCGGGGGTGTGGGCAGGACACAACTGTCTGCCTGGTGACCATCCCACCCCCAGCAGGGGCTGGGCTCGACGAGGAAGGACTAGGGCCCAGGACTCTTTGCACAGCCTCTCCTGGCTGGGCTGACGTTGTTACTTCCTTTGGCCGGTCCAAGTTCATTCCCGCCTAACGGGGAAAACGGGTGGAGCTCTGAGGGCTGCATGTTTGGCCCCCTGCCTGGCCACTGTGGCTCGGTCAGGGATTCAGTAACCAAGACTCTGAGCTGGGCACCACCCAAGCATGAGCCCCAGGCAGGGATCGGAGTGTTTGTTTGTTTGTTTTGGGGTTTCCTGGACCTCAGGAGAGGAGGGAGGGTTGACATAATTATACCCCTCCATCCCTCCACTTCTCCATCAGGGGCCCCCAGAAGTCCCTGCGCTTGTATTTTCTTTCTTCACTGTGCTCATTTCCCAGTAGCCCTATTTCCCAGTCCCGTGACCCCTCCCACCCTCTCTCCCATGGAGCCATTCTAATGTGTTCAATGTGCGTCTGGCTATTTGGCTGGATTCTTGCAAAACGTGTGTTGCCGCTTTGCAGACATGTTCTCAATGTACCACAGCACTATTAGGGTCCTGATAGCCAGCACCTGTGTGGCTCTTTGTTGAACTGACCTGAGGCTGGGAGTGGCTGGGAATGCACACTCCAGGACAGGGCGGAGGCATGCAAATACTCCTGGAATGTGACCTGCACTGTTCCCAGGGTCCTTGATGGGTGTGAGCCAAGGCCACCCTCTGTAGGACGCTGTGGGATGCTGCACCCCTGCCTGGCCTCCTCCCACTTCCTCACTCCCTCACCAGTTTTTCCTGAAATGCTTCCTTAATAAATCACTTTTGCCAGAATCGTCAGTTGAGGATTTGCTTCTGGGGAAAGAAGACATATCCAAAAACGATGCACATGGACACCTCCCTGTGTGTTTCCTTGCAGGGAGGTGGGGCACTGCCTGGATATTCACTCAGGAGCCATCACAGAGGGTTCGCAGATACCTGCAGCATGGCATGAGGTGCCTGTGCTCCCACCCGGCCAACCTGGGAAGCGTCCAGCTTTCTAGTTCTTGCCACAGTCTAGAAGGTGTAGAATGTCATCTGGTTGTGGTTTTCATGTGCATTTCTTTGATCTTCAATTTGTCATATGCCTGGGTTTGGGGGTTTCCCTCCTGTCAATTGCCTGTTCCTATCATTTGCCCATTGTCCTGTCAGGGTCGCTGTTTTTTGGATTTGCAGGAAGGGGCTCCTTGAGTACGCTAGATAGCAATCCTTTTTGGGTTTGGAGATTGTAAATATCTTCCTCCGTTGGAGGCAGGAAGTGTGTGTGTGTGCATTCTGATGTGTGTGTCTGTGTGAGCACACATGCCTGTGTGTGTATGTGTGTGTAGCCCATTATAATGGTGGGATCTGGGCTCCCACATGAGCTAAGCTTCAGGGCAGAGAGGTGGAGGCTGGATTCCCAAACACAAGATGAGCAATTGAGTGGAGCCACAAATAGCAACACTAATAACAATAACACAACAACGACATGGGCATTAAGCTCTGTATGTTTCCAAAGCCTCAGTCTCCTCGTCTGTAAAATGGGGGAAGGATACACCCCCTTTGCAAGGTTGTTTTGGAAAAAGTCTGTGACGACATTTCTAATGGGCTTGGCTCCTGCCACATAGTAGGTGCTTAATAAATTATGATGTCAGCAATAGTAAAGCATGTGCTTATTATGTGCCTACTATGTGCCAGGCACTGAGCTGGGGGCTGGTGGAGGATGAACACATGTTACATAGTAGGGCTTTTTTGTGTGGGTGGCCTGGGTGGCATTTTCAGGTAAGACATGGTCTGCAGCAGAGGGAGAGGCCTGGGGAACTAGACAGAGTGAGAATCAGAACCAGGTACTGATAGAAAACTTGGGTGGACGCGGCCGAGCACGGTGGCTCATACCTGTTATCTCAGCACTTTGGGAGCCCAAAGTGGGTGGATCTATAAGGTCAGGAGATTGAGACCATCCTGGCTAACATGGTGAAACTCCATCTCTACTAAAAATACAAAAAGTTAGCTGGGCGTGGTGGGATGTGCCTGTAGTCCCAGCTACTCGGGAGGCTGAGGCAGGAGAATCACTTGAACCCGAGAGGCAGAGGCTGCAGTAAGCTGAGATCGCACCACTGCACTCCAGCCTGGCAACAGAGTGAGACTTCGTCTCAAAAAAAAAAAAAAAAAAAAAAAGACTTGGGTGGATGCTGATTGTGGTCAGAACCACCACTGACAACAACAATAGCAACATTGACTTTCTGCTCTACAGTGATGGAACGTGCTTTGTAGGGCTTTTTTCACCCCCTGAGCCTCTGTGTCCCTCCCTGTCTGAAAATGCGTATAATTGTGTCCCGACCCTGTAGGGTGATCATGAGGATTGGGCGAGATGGGATAAACTCCTTGGCTCATTGTCCAGCACAAAGGAAGTACTTTATTAATGATTAATGGTGAACTTTCTTATGCTAGGCAGTGCTGCAAATGCTTCACCAATGCCACTTATTCAATTCTCACAACAGCCCTAGGAGGTGGGTCCTTGGATTATCCCCATTGCACCAATATTGAAATGGAGGCTGTAGAGAGGGCTAAGTAATGTGCCCAGGGTCGCACAGCTCACAGGTCATGGAGCAATAGTCCAGCCCTGATGGATGGGAAGCAATATCCTGGGCCCTTAATCCCTTTGTTGTGTTGTTCTATGTTCTATGGCATCAACAATGTCACTGTTATTATTTCTAATATCCAGACAGATCCAGTGAGACAGAAAAACAAGCATTCATTCATTCATTCATTCATTCATTCATCAAACAATATTCTGGGTAATGCACTAGAGTTACGTAAGATATTACTATTGGGGAAATTAGGTGATAGGTACATGGAACTTCTCTGTACTACTTTTGCAATTGCTTGTGAGTCTGTAATTATTTCAAAATAGAGTTATAAAAGGAGTAAGGCAGAAGTGACCCCAATGTGATTTCTAAGCACTAACCCCCAAGGTTAGCTTGTAAAAGGCCGTGTTCCCTGGCGCACCTGCTCCTGGAGCCCAGGGCTGCCAGGCAACAAGCCCACTCTCCTGAAGCTGCCATGCTGTGAGTAAGCTCAAGCCACATGGCGCCCTGGTCCATAGTGTAAGAGAAACAAAACGAAACCGAACAAAGCCCAATATCCAGAGGACCTGTCTGGTGCCTGGATTCTGCTCCAGTCTGAGGAAATGGAGCTGAATAAGACCCAATTCTTGTCCTCAGATAACTTGTTATCTAATCAGATGCATATGCCAGCAATAATCACATAAATGCCATGTGCCCCACATGGGTGAGCAGGACGCTGTAGGAGCCAGAATGGGGAGTGTATTTGTTTTCCAGCGCTGCCATAACAAACTGTCACAAACTGAGTGGCTTAAAACAACAGGAATTTATTCTCTCATGGTTCTGGAGGCCAGAACTCTGAAATCAAGGGTCGTGCTCCCTCTGAAGGCTCCAGGGGAGGATACTTCCTTGCCTCTGCCAGCTTCTGGTGGCTCCAGATGTTCTTTGGCTTGGGGCAGCATCCCTCCTATCTCTGCCTCCATCCCCACATGGCCTTCTGTTCTGTGTCCATGTGAAATCTTCCCCCTGCTTTTCCTCTTATACGGTGACTGCAATCTGGGGCCTACTCTAATCCCGGATGATCTCATCATGAGATCCTTACCTTAATCTCAGCTGCAAAGACCCTTTTCCCAAACAAAGTAACACTGACAGGTTCTAGTGGATGCACCATTTGGGGGCAGGGGGTGGAATGCAGAGGGCATCCTTCCACTTACTACAGGAAGGAGAGGGGATGCTTCCTAGAAAGGATGCCTGAACCTGGTTGCTAGGGATGAGGTTGACTTAGGGAAGGAATTTAAAAGGGAGTAGAAACTCCTACACTGAAAAAAAAGTGATTTTGATTTTTAGAGACTGCCACCTAGCAAATGTGTTGGTCAAGAGAAGTTTCAGTTGTTCCAGTTCATGCCTCTCCCACAAAGCACAGCTCTCAGACCTCTGGGGCCTTGACCTTCTGGGTCTTTCTCTGACATTCTTGCCAAGACTGATGAGCTGGGAGGAGCACCTGGTGCAGGCATATGCAGGGCATCCCAGAGCCCAAAGTGTTCTCCAGACCGTCTGCTGCCCAGTCCTGACTCCAAACACAAATTCCTGTCACTTTAGCTATTCTAGTCCTGCACAGCATGCGGGGTGGGTATTGTTATCATCCTCATTTTGCAGATTGCACATCTGAGGCCCTGACAGGAGAAGCAGCTTGTTCAGGTGACACAGCAGGTCTCCTGCCGCCCACACGTGGACCTTGTGCTGCCATCTCCTCCCTGGCATTCCCTTCTGGAGCCCTCCTGGGACCGTCCCAGGGAATGGACCAGTATGACTGGCTTAGGGAGTTCTGACTCAGGGGGATAAGAGCGGAGTGGCTTTTGCCCTGGGGCCAAATCCAGTGTGAGTTCAGGGTCTCAGGCAGAATCTTGGTGCTGGGCCTGGAGAATGGGCTTCCCCTGGGTTCTCTGGGCAGCTGAGGGTGGAAAGGGAGGCAGACAGGTGTCAGGCCGGCCTGCCTCTATGGGCTGTGATGAATGATGTGGTCTCTGGTGAGTAACCCCCGTGTGTGTGTCCCAGACCTCAGCTAGATTGTCCTGAAAACTGGGAGGGTAAATTCCCTGAGGGGCTAGGAAAAGTGGAGCAACAAGGAGGGTGTCCCTGTAGGGTGGAGCTGGACGGCCTGGTGTATCAGGAAAGGTGTGAACAGACATCGGTAAATGTGTTCTCCTTTCCAGTAAGCAGTGTGGTGAAGAGCAAGACTCATAGTCAGAGCAAACCCAGATGTGGATCTGTCACTGGCTGAACTCTGTGACATTAGCATCACTTCCTCCCTTTACAATGGGAGTGATAGCAGTACCACTCCTGGAGGTTGTTGGAGATGCATGAGCTGATGCAATGAAAGTGCTTGATACAGTGTTTGGACTCTTATGTGCACCCAATCAATTATTAGTTATTACAAGGAAGTAAAACCAATATAAAGTATAATTCGATGTAGACATAAGGACCAAGCAAAACCAGTGCAGAAACCTGCAGACTAGAGGTTTTTGTGCCTTTGACCAACAAACATGACTCTGAGCTTCCTTGTGGTCACATCAAAAAGGGAAATGTGATCAGTTGTAGAACATGGATGATCAAGAACGAGAAAGCAACCCAGTTCCTCAAGAGAAGCAACATTGTTCCTTACCCTGAATCCTCCAGAGTATTTCTCACTGAGCACAGAGCTTCATAAAGGGTATCCCAAGGGAGTCAGGGAGCAACATCATTGACTAGGAATTACATAGCATTGCAGGTGTGATTTTCATGTGGTAACTGACTGCAGAGGCCTTGAGGAGGAGATGAAGGGAAATCTATGAAGGTGGCTCAGAGAAGGCAGCTCTGTGGCAGGACCAGGAATGTGACAAAGGTTTGGGCTATCAGGATTGAAGGTTGAGGCTTACGGAGGTCAGAGTGGTTGGGATGAGAGCTGATAATCCCTCAGGGAAACAGGAGGAACCCAACAGCCTTTTCACTTGGGATCCTTGGAAGTCAGATTCTGGAGTCAGAGCTCCCTGCTGTGTGGCCTCAGGCAAGTGTATCCACCTCTCTGAACCTCAGTTTTCTCATCTGCAAATAGGAGTTATTTTTACAGGGCTATTATGGAGTCTTGCAAAGCACATACAGTGAGAGATCAAGCAAACGTTAACTATATGTATGTACATATTATGTACACTGGACCCTTGAACAAGTCAGGGGTTAGGGGAGCCAACTCACTGTACAGTCAAAAATCCACATATAACTTTTGACTCCCCCAAAATTTAACTACTGACAGCCTCCTGTTGACCAGAAGTCTTGTTAATAACATATGCAGCCAATTGACACGTATTTTTTTATGTTATATGTATTATATTCTGTACTCATACAATCAAGTAAGCTAGAGAAAAAGAAAATGTTATTAAGAAAATCATAAGGAAGAGAGAATATATTTACTATTTATTAAGTGGAAGTGGGTCACCACAAAGGTCTTCATCCTCATTGTTTTCATGTTGAGTAGGCTGAGGAACAGGAAGAGGAGGGGTTGGTTTTGCTGTCTCAGGGGTGGCAGAGGCAGAAGAAAATTCACAAATAAGTGGACCCACGCAGTTAAAACCTGTATTGTTCAAGGGTCAGCGGTATATATAGTGACGCATATTTTTTTCATAAGCTTCCTGGTTGTGGAGGATTTAAGGAATTTGGGTAACTAGAATTTTACAGCTCTTTATAATTCACAATTGGCAAAGGCTTCATTGTCATTTCACATGATTCTCCCAACAACACGAGGAAGGTGTTCTTACCCCCACTTGAGAGGAGAGGACATTGGAGCTTAGAGAAGCAAAATCCTTACCTGTGTCCCTCTTTTTTTTTTTTTGAAGACAGTCTCACCCTGTGGTCCAGGCTGGAGTGCAATGGCCTGATCTTGGCTCACTGCAACCTCCGCTCCTGGGTTCAAGCAATTCCCCTGCCTCAGCCTCCTGAGTAGCTGGGATTACAGGCACGTGTTGCCATGCCTGGCTAATTTTTGTATTTTTAGTAGAGACCGGGTTTCACCATGTTGCCCAGGCTGGTCTCAAACTCCTGGCCTCAAGTAATCCTCCCACCTCAGCCACCTGAAGTGCTGGGATTACAGGCATGAGCCACCGTGCCTGGCCTCTGTGTCCCTTTCTGACCTGCCCTTGATCCCACAGCTGGAGAGACAAGTGGCCAGGAACTCACTGGTCCTCTGGCTTCCTAGCCTCATCCCACCTTCCCAGGCAAAGACCATTTTAGAAGGGAGTTAAGAGTGGAAGCCTGAGAAATAATAACAATGCCAATAACAACAATATAGTGCTTACCCCATAAGGGGACCTGTTCCAAGCACTTAATCCTCACAACCATCTTCTTATGAGGCAGGAGCTATTATTATCAAGCCCATTTTACAGATAAGACAACTGAGTTGCAAAGAAGGTAACTGACTTGCCCAAGGTCACAGGGGAGTTCCTGCAGATCCAGGATGTGGATGCAGGCAGTCTGGCTGGGCCCAAGAGTCTGCTCTTCCGCTTGGTTTGGTAGCAGAAATGTGCTCAGGACAGGAGGGATGTGTGTTAGGACAGAGCAGAGGCTCAAAGCAAACCTGTGACTTGTGCCTCCCTTACGCTTCCAGAGAGAGAGGCGTCTTGGGGTGGGGGCGATGCACCAACAGGGGACACGAATCCACTCAATTCCTGGAAGGATGAGGAGTTAGGGGTGGAAGGAGGGACATGCCCAGAGGATGTCAGCATCATTCTGTGCCAGCCCAGCCTGGCCCCAGCTCTAAGATGAAAAAACATGGCCTCTGACCCCAAGCTGCTCCCAGCCCAGCCAGAGAGCCCGACATGATGTCATCTGCTTCAGGCTGCATCTCTGCAGATGCTGTGCGAAGCACTCAGTCCTGAGTCCCAGATCCTCCTCGACCTCCTCTCGGGACTCACACACCCAGCCCACTGTCAATGAGGGAGGGGAAGGTCAGAGATGGGGAGATGCCCGGCGTGCCCTTCCTCCTTTCTCTGCCTTCCACCTTCTTAACTCATACTTGTCCTTAAAACTCAACTCAGATGCCATTGGCCCCAGGAAGCTTCAGACTCCCAGGCTGGGTAACAGCCCCTCCTCTGGGCTTCTTGGGGCATTCTAGTCTTGCCCCAGCCTCAACACTGTCTCTTTGTCTCATACCTGTGAGCTCCTTTTGGGAAGGGACCCTAGTAAGGCCATGTCCTCATCCCTGGTGCCTGCACCGTTTGGCACAGGGAATGTCAACTTGGTCATTTCTTCCAAAAGGAAGGTTGGTGATGGTCATCAATCTGAGCAGATCATGGTCTCAGGGGCAGTGTGGAGTGACAGTTAAGAGCTCAGGCTTTGCAGATGTGGTTCAAATCCCAGCTCTTCCAGCCCCTGCCTGCATGCTTGGGCATGGGTCCTGATCTCTCTGAGCCCTGCTGTAGCCCCTTATGGGGTTAAAGTGAGACCATCTGGACTGAGGGCTTAACATGGTCCCTGGCATACACAAGAGCTCAATGTGCATTCCCCACTACTGTCATGCACACCTGTCAGGTTACCTCCAGTCATGGGAGGCCAGCTCCAGTGTCCCCATCTTCTCTCTGCATTCCAGTGCCATAGAAAACCCTTGGAGACCCCTTGGTGGGCACTTCTGAAATATTGTCCCAGCATAGAGTGGGATAACACCCAAGCTTTGATTGTGAGCCCTCTGAGTGCAAAGCCCTCAATGGAATTTTCCAAGTGGCTTTTATTTAATAAAAGCAAAAGATGACTTTTATGTAATAAAATATAACCTTAAGCTGGGAAGGATCAGTAATGAATTTATGTGCAGGAAGGTTGGAGTTATTTATAATAAAGCATTGATTAGCAGCCTTGTGAAGCTGAAATATCTGGTTTGGAGCCCATTTGACAAGATGGGGAGATCATGAGCCGCAGAAAAAAGTGCATGGGCTCTGGGGTATCAGAGCCTTGGTTTTAAATCCTGCTTATCAGCTGTGCACCTCTAGGCAATAATGCAATCACTAGTATTTATTGAGGGCTTACTATGTGCCAATACCAAGCTAAATGCTCCACATTTCTGATGCTTCTAGTTCTTATATACACTCTGTGAGGTGAGAAATCCCATTTATTGGTAAGAAAACTGAGATTCAGGGAAGAGAAATCACTTGCCCAAAGCCACACAGCTCATAAGTGTCCGGGGTTAGGTATGAACCCTGCATGTGATCACTGCCTCCAAGATCTTGCAAACTTGCAAACTCCTCAGAATATGTTTGTTCTTCCATAGACTGGAAAAATACTCAGCAAGATTGTTATGGGGCTTGTTTAAAGTGCCACTTAAGTTGTCTGCACAGCGGAGGCTCAGTGGATATATTTGTGTCTGTCTTCACACCAGACTGCTGTGGCTTCAGAGCCTGCATCTCATTCATGGTTCCCATAGGGCCCAGAGAATATCCAGCAAGAATGATGCTTCTTTCTCTGAGCCTCAGTCTCTCTATTTCTTAACACAAAAGGAATAACACCTGCCTGGAAAAGTCCCAAGGAAGACTAAATAACAAGAAAGAATAAAAGTTCTTGGCACATAGCAGGTACTCTGTGTGGGTCTTCTCCTGTTTTCTCTGTGCTCACACTTCCTAAAACAGTATTTTGTGGGTCCTGCCCTGGTAGTGGAGTTGAGTCCCGACCTGGTAGTGGATTGAGCCATCCATGTACCTCCTCTGTGTCTTCCTTTACTCATGCCCGACTCCAGCTGTCAGCTAGGGATGTGCTGGGAGAGGGGAGTGGTTAGAATGAAGAGTCCAGCACTTGACCTGGGAAGAGTCAGTTGACCTAGGTTCAAGGGGCTCCATCCCTTCCTGGCTGCATAACCTTGGCTGAATAACAGCCTTTCTGAACTTCTGCTTCCTTCTCTGTAAAATGGGAATAAGAACAACAGATCTTATTTCTGGCTGGGTCCACTCAACCCTCTGGTTCTTAGACCTGGATCCAATTGCTGCTTTTTTTTTTTTTTTTTTCCCTACAGGTGTTTCTAGCTGTGTACAGGGACTGATTGGCTGAGGACTCACATTGGAGAGCTGCAGACAACATAACGGTGAATGGTGAGGAAGTCTTGTGGTCTGAACTCCAAAGGGCACCAGTGACCACTGACAGATTGGGTGCACAGGGGGATCACAACAAGGCTGTCCACTTGGTTTTAGAAGCATGTTGGAATCAAGTTCACAGCACCATGTACCTCTTCTTCATTGCACTTAGCATTATTGCAATGTTCCCATTATTTGAGGGACTTTTTGATGAACAATTGTCTCCCCCACTAGGCTCTAGAGGAAGACAGGGCCCCAAGCAGACAGAAAACATGGTTGTCAAAAGGATAGACTCTGAAGCTTGGATTCAAATCACAGGTCTGCCTTTTCCTAGCTGTAGGACTTCAGGCAAATGACATAAGCTCTCTGTGACTCAGTTTCCTCATTTGTAAGTTGAGGCTCATAACCTACCTACCTCATTGAGTTACTGTGAAGATTAAGAGAGTGTAGAATGCAATAGTGCCTGGCATGTAGGAGGTACCAGAGAGGCATTTGTTCAATAAATAAAATAGCAAAGAAGGAAATGGTTAAATCACAAAACTGGACTTGCTCAGAGTCAGGGGGAACATTGTTGGTCTTGCTGGTATTGGTCAACCTCTTAAAGCCAACTCTAGGGTTCCTCTAATGGTCCCTGTCTTCTCTTGCAGAGAATGGAGGATGAAGATTACAACACTTCCATCAGTTACGGTGATGAATACCCTGATTATTTAGACTCCATTGTGGTTTTGGAGGACTTATCCCCCTTGGAAGCCAGGGTGACCAGGATCTTCCTGGTGGTGGTCTACAGCATCGTCTGCTTCCTCGGGATTCTGGGCAATGGTCTGGTGATCATCATTGCCACCTTCAAGATGAAGAAGACAGTGAACATGGTCTGGTTCCTCAACCTGGCAGTGGCAGATTTCCTGTTCAACGTCTTCCTCCCAATCCATATCACCTATGCCGCCATGGACTACCACTGGGTTTTCGGGACAGCCATGTGCAAGATCAGCAACTTCCTTCTCATCCACAACATGTTCACCAGCGTCTTCCTGCTGACCATCATCAGCTCTGACCGCTGCATCTCTGTGCTCCTCCCTGTCTGGTCCCAGAACCACCGCAGCGTTCGCCTGGCTTACATGGCCTGCATGGTCATCTGGGTCCTGGCTTTCTTCTTGAGTTCCCCATCTCTCGTCTTCCGGGACACAGCCAACCTGCATGGGAAAATATCCTGCTTCAACAACTTCAGCCTGTCCACACCTGGGTCTTCCTCGTGGCCCACTCACTCCCAAATGGACCCTGTGGGGTATAGCCGGCACATGGTGGTGACTGTCACCCGCTTCCTCTGTGGCTTCCTGGTCCCAGTCCTCATCATCACAGCTTGCTACCTCACCATCGTGTGCAAACTGCAGCGCAACCGCCTGGCCAAGACCAAGAAGCCCTTCAAGATTATTGTGACCATCATCATTACCTTCTTCCTCTGCTGGTGCCCCTACCACACACTCAACCTCCTAGAGCTCCACCACACTGCCATGCCTGGCTCTGTCTTCAGCCTGGGTTTGCCCCTGGCCACTGCCCTTGCCATTGCCAACAGCTGCATGAACCCCATTCTGTATGTTTTCATGGGTCAGGACTTCAAGAAGTTCAAGGTGGCCCTCTTCTCTCGCCTGGTCAATGCTCTAAGTGAAGATACAGGCCACTCTTCCTACCCCAGCCATAGAAGCTTTACCAAGATGTCATCAATGAATGAGAGGACTTCTATGAATGAGAGGGAGACCGGCATGCTTTGATCCTCACTGTGGAACCCCTCAATGGACTCTCTCAACCCAGGGACACCCAAGGATATGTCTTCTGAAGATCAAGGCAAGAACCTCTTTAGCATCCACCAATTTTCACTGCATTTTGCATGGGATGAACAGTGTTTTATGCTGGGAATCTAGGGCCTGGAACCCCTTTCTTCTAGTGGACAGAACATGCTGTGTTCCATACAGCCTTGGACTAGCAATTTATGCTTCTTGGGAGGCCAGCCTTGACTGACTCAAAGCAAAAAAGGAAGAATTCTCAAAAGCATTGCCATGAACTGGGATTGGCATAGGGCGGTGGGATTAAGCTGCCTATTGTGTGTGCCCCAGAAATGACACTCTCCAAGGTCCATTCCTGGTGTGAGCAGTGAGGGGGTCAGAGCAAACCCAGTGTGATGCAGATCACACTTGGCCCTTGTATATATATTATCAGTAGCTGGCCAGAAAACCCTACCTTCAAGTCACTGCTCTGTGTTAAAGTATGTGGAAATGCATAGGTGATCTGGGAGAGGAAGGTGACATATCAGCCCATGAACTCCATAGGCCATGAATTTGGCTTTCGGATCAGCTAGGAAGACAGAGAACTGGTCCTGAGAGGTCCTGTGGGCTCTTTGCAAGGGCAAGACAAGTGAGGGATGCAACGAGGACTTGAGATTTGGCAAAGAAATGAGAAAGGAGAAAAGAACCTTTAAAGGATGCAGGCATGGAGCAGCTCACCCTAGAACATCGCAGGCTGATGGTGCTTTAGGCTGGAGCTATTTGGGGCGTCAGGGTGGTGCCAGCCCCTGATCTCACCTTGCCCCTCTTACCTGGGGGTGGGGTTGTGGCAGGCATCTTCACCAGCAGCCCTCACCCCATCACAGGGATTTTTTTCTGCCTTTCCTAATCCACTCAGCTCTGGCTGGAGGTGCTTAGAATAAAACACTGGTGGTGGGGCTTCTCATTCTGGTTAATTTCCTCAACGCCTTTGGAGACAGGTCCAAAATGCAGCTTTGGGAAGCAACTCCGGAGAGTCCCCTGGGAAGAAGAGTATGTCCGAGGACTCAGTCACTTGAGACAGAGTCTGGAGCTGGACTCCTTGAACTGTGTTTCTGAGCTGCAGACACCAAATACCTCCTGGATACAGGTGCCTGGCATGGCTTTTCTCATCTAATACTGACACGTCCCTGTGGCCACAGAGTGTCATAGCCCCATTTACAAATGACATAGCTGAGGCCCAGATGGGGAAAGTAACTTGCCCAGCATCACACAGCTAATCAGTGGCAGAGTTAAGATCTGAACCTGGCTCCGTCTGGCTCCAGAAACTCTGTTCTTCTATTTGGAATTTATCTGTGGAGATTATTCTAGTATATTGATAGCCTACATTTATTTAGCACTTTTTATATTATGCACTTTACATATGTTTTCTCATTTAATCATTACAGCAACCCTGAGTTAGGTATGGTTATAACTTCCCTTTTACATAGGAGGAATCTGAGGCTTAGAGAGGTTAAGTAACTTGCCCAAAGGTACCCAGCTAGTCTCTGCCGGAGCTTGGATTTGAACTTCAGTTTGCCTGGCTCAAATGAGGCTGCAGAGTTGGGAAGGACTTAAAAAGTTTGGAGATTTTTGCCATAAATATTGATTTTTCTGCAAATGAGGATGAACATCTTAATGGCCTTTAAGAAACTTTGCAAATAGTTTTCAAAAATGATGCAACATGGCAGAGAAAATGCACTTGGCTTCCAGCTCCCTCAACAGCCATTAACAGCCTCCTACCGTGGCTCCCACCTCCTATGTCTCCAGAGATCAAGGCAATGGGGAGGGAAAGCTGGCAGGAGGCAGTCCCTTGTGGGCCTGAGGCCCTTTGGCTCCTAAGTGTCCACATTCTGTTCTCTTCCAAGTCCCTTCATTGTTAAGCTGATTCTCCAACAAGATGCAATGAACAGATGCAATGTCTACCCCGCGCTGGGCGAGTTCCCGAGGCCATGGGCTGTTTGGAATCACACTTCATTAAGAGACAAACTGTTCCTTCCCTTATTGTGCCTTAATGCTTATGACAAGGCAGCTCTGAATTGATCCCAAGCTGGAGCCTCTGAATGCTTTAAAGAGTTTGAATATAGACGGTTTGAGAGCAAAAAGGGAGCTTTAAATATTGCTCAGTGGCCCCCATCTCCCCTCTTCCCACATT
Organism: Homo sapiens; assembly: GCF_000001405.40. Taxonomy (NCBI): domain Eukaryota; kingdom Metazoa; phylum Chordata; class Mammalia; order Primates; family Hominidae; genus Homo; species Homo sapiens. The sequence continues at coordinate 108,289,658 of NC_000012.12, read as the reverse complement.
TACTGAGGCACGAGATGGGATGGGACCTGTCCCGGGTCACAGCAGCAGTCGTCAGCGCCTTGGCCCTCCTGGCTTGTAGGATGCTGCTTTTCCTGGGCTTCTGGCAGTCCAGGCCAGGATGGGGGAGCCAGGAATTCATGTTGTCATTGGAAAAGCTGATAAACAGGAGCACAATTCAAACCGGCTGTTTTCCTCCTTAGAGTCTGGCCTCCCTCTTTCTGGCTGCTCTGTGGGTCTTCCTGTTCTGACTTAGGTTCCTGTCAAGTACTTAAATGCAGCCTTAACATCCCATACAGTCTTGTCCCCACAGCTTCATGTGAACATCTCCATGGGTCATGCATATATCGTCCCTGCAGTGTGCAAAGTGTGCTCACCTGCACTGCTGCACAGGCAACCAACATACTTAGTGCCCAGAGCCTTCTCTCTGGGCCCAGGACTCAGTGATGGGGCCTTACTTAGCCCTGCCTCCTGGGTGGGGTGGGGGAGCTGAGGGATCGTGAGGACAAGAGGTAGAGGGAAAAGAAAAGAAGATGGTGTTTGAGGATAGGGGAGGGACAGGAGAGGGGACAGAAAGGTCCCAGAGCATGATGATGAAGGAAAGGGATCTGGCATTCATGAAGCACCTACGATGGTTCAGGCACAAACACTGAAACCTCAAATTGGCCCTGGCAGAAGGGGACCATCATAGCAAGGTGGGGGGGGGGTGCAGAAAGTGAGTTTCTGTTTCAAGAACAGACTTCACTAGTTCAGAGTTGCACAGCTAGTGAGGTATGGAGCTGGGCTTTGAATCAGGTCAGCTGCCTGAATGCCCAACTTCTTCAGCCCTTGGAAGGAGAGGGTGGGGAGAAGAAGAAGGAAAAGACAAGGAAGAAAGAAAGAAGAGAGAAGGGGAGAGGAATGGAAGTCCAAAGAGTGGGAGGAATTTGATTTCAGAACCATCTCCAGCTGACCCTTGAGCCAGCAAGGACAGGGAGAAGGGAAGAGCAAGAACACGAAGGGCCTCAAGCACCGGGATGCCTTTGCCAGCCTTAGATAATTCCCAGAGCGCACAGAGCCCTGCAGGTTCCTGGGTCCTTCTCCAGAGAAGAGGCACAGAGATTCTGGCAGCAAGGTTCAGAAGGGGTGAGGAAACTGGGCACTGACAAAGGGAGGGGATTGGCTCAAATTCGACCCCAGAGTCAGCTCTGGTGGGGTTGGGAGCCTGGATGGGTGGGAGAAGATAGAATCCAATCGTGAAAACCATAAGGGACCTTCAAACTCATCTTGCCCAGATGTCTCCCATTTCACAGATGAGGGAACTGAGGTTTTGAGAGCTTCCCCTGAGGACTCTGCAAAACGAGGTGGTGTCTGGTTTGGATGAAAGTGGTCGGTGATTCCTCAACTCCTGCCCTGCCTCCCTCTCTCGTTCCTCCCTAACATGTTATGCTCTTGTTGGGGCTGGGATGCCCTAGGCCCAAGGTTACCAAATCCTGGGTTTGGAAAATTGCTGCTGGGGGTGGTATCTAGGACCAGAGAGGAATCTACTATTTCTACTGTGAAATAATTCAGCAGGGGGTCTTCTTACTTCTTCCCTTTGAGGACAAAGTTTCTCTCGAATAAAGAGACTGAAGCAAGAGTGTGTGGCTCAGTTCTGGGGGTTCCTGCCATCACCTCCCTTTTGCCTTCCTCACTTACTTCACAGAACAGCAGCTGAGGCTCAGAGAGGTGAGGCGGCCAGTGCAAAGTCACAGAGCTATGTTGTGGGCAGCAGGAGAAGCCCTGAAGTCCCCAACCTGCCATTCTCAAACCTTCGAGCTCCAAGAAATTTGCATTTTGAAAAAAATTCTTTTCACTTATTTTGCTTTTCTAGCAACTGAGGATGTGAAAGAGGTAGTTACTCACCCAAGATAATATAGTAAACCCTAGCAGATAAGGGACATAAAGCCAGGCCTCCTCATGGTCAGGTCTATACTCTTTGGCACTGCATCAGGTGGCCCAAGGACAGATGCTCCTGTGACACATTCATCCATTCACCTTTTCACCAACCCATTCACCCTAACATCCACCCACCTATCCACCCACCCATTCACTCCAAGATCTACCCATCCACCCATTCACCCCAAGATTCACCCACCCATCCACCCACCCATTCACCCACTCATTCACCCCAAGATCCACCCACCTATCCAACCATCTATTCACCCCAATATCCACTCACACATCCACCATCCATTCACTTTAATATCCACCCACACATCCACCCACCCATTCACCCACTCATTCACCGCAAGATCCATTCACCCATCCACCCACCCATTATCCCAAGATGAGCTCACCCATCCACCCCAACATCCACTCATCCACCCACTTACCCACTGACTCCGACATCCACTCACCCAGCCATTCATCTCAACATTCGCCTAGCCATCCATCCACTCACCCATTCACTTACATAACCATCTATCTATCCACCCATTCATCCATTCCATTAAAATGTATTTAACAGCTACTCTTTTGCTAATTCTGTGGTAGGCACTATATACAGAGAGATGATCAAGACGTACACAGCCTCTGTCCTCCTGAGCTCATTCATTGACTTATGAGAGAGACAGCCAATAATCAAAATTATACACGTCCCCCAATGGGAAACAACCCCAGGAAATGTTTTCTCTGTTGCCCAGGCTGGAATGCTATGGCACGATCACTTTAGCCTTGACCTCCCTGGGCTCAGGTGATCCTCCCATCTCAGCCTCCGGAGTAGCTGGAACCTCAAGCACATGCCATCACACCCAGCTAATTTTTGTATTTTTTATTTTATTTTATTTTTTGTAGAGACAGGGTTTCTCCATGTTGACCAGGCTGGTCTTGAATTCCTGGGCTCAAGTGATCCTCCTGCCTCAGACGTCCATAGTGCTGGGATTACAGGCGTGAGCCATGGTGCCAGGCCTGCACACACATTATAGAGGGATCCGATCCTGTCCAAAGACTAAGGAAACTTCCTTGGGGAGGGGACACTTGAGCTGACATGTGGAAGATGGGTGGGCACGGATGTGGTAAGGAGGTGCAGGAGGAGGGTGCTCCAGGTGGAGGGGACAGCAGGGGCAGTGGCATTGATGCAAGAGGGAGCAATGCTCACAGTGACGGGAAGTGGTGGGGGTGGGGGGCTGGCTGCAAGGAGGGTGTAGGATGAGTGAGACCAGGTGGGGGTGGAGTGGAAGGGCCAGGCAGTGGGGGAGACCTTCACCCTGAGATGCGGCAGCCATGTGCAGGGGAGTGCCATGCTCAGATCTGCATGCTGGAACAATGCCCCTAGCTGCTCTGGGGAGGACAGGTTGGAGAGGGGCAGAGTGGGAAGCCCGGAGGCTACTGCAGCCTCAGATGAGCCATGGTGGAATCTGGACTGGGGAAACAGAAGCGATGCTGGAGAGAAATGGACTATTGGAAAGATATTTAAAAGCTACCCAAGCTTTCTCAGGGGAGTGGTTAGTGGGAAACCAACCCAGGGCCCATTTCTGCTACACAGAGGCCTCGGTGCATTGCTTTATTGTCTGAAATTAATTGTAAATATTATTCAAATGTACCACCCAATGCACAATTATATTTCTCAGGGGAGCCCTCTGAACACATAATAAAGCCCTATAAATAATACATATATTAACCTAAGAGGAACAGAGGCATGTTAATGCTGCAATTGCAGGTTGTGCTGTGGGGACTTTATACAGATGAGATGCCAAGCACTTGGACTTGGGGTTTGACCTTGGGGGTCACCTGAGTTCTGTCCTGGGGAATCTTCCAGAAGTCTCTCCCCCTGGGATATGGGGATACCCCCAGACAAGTCAGGCAGCTACTGCTCTAGGTATCTAGTCAATAGACAGGTGGGGGCAAGATGAGAGTTGGTGAGGGAGGAAGAAGCACAGGTCTATAAAACACTTACCTTGTGCTCAAAGATGCAGAAACAGCAACAGCAGTAATAATAGCAAATACTAATTCAGCCTTGTCTAAGTTTTGGGCAAGCTCTTCAGTTTCATTGTCTCATTGAGTCCTTGCAACAAGGATTTCACAGTAGGGGTATTGCTATCTCCATACACAAGTGAAGAGATTGAGGTTCAGAAAGGTGAAGTGACTTTGCCCGATGCCACACAGCTGGTAAGTGACAGAGCTGGGATTCAAACCCCAGTATGTTTATCTTGAAAGCTCCTGCTGTTTTCCCCAGAAATGTGCAAATGCAAAATGTCCTCTGTAGAGACCCTTCCCTGGAGAGAAGAGGACAAGAACATATTCTCTTTCCCATGTCAAATTTTGAAGATGTGGGAGTCGGGGAGTCTGAGGAATTGCTTTTTCCTTGAGAGGAGGAAATTGCATTTGAATGGGCTTGTCACTTTCTCACAACCCTGAGAATCTTAGGGTTTTTGCGTTTGGAAAGGACTACTTCCTCAAGTTTGTCCCTTCCTGTTCCCCCATTTCACAGATGGTGAAACTGAGACCTCTTTGCAAATAAGATGGAGACCACCTGCCTCACTGACTGCTGGGAGATGAGAAGTGTGTGAAAATGCTCACCTGAGTCACTCTTAAAACACCATCACCCCAGAGACCTGAGCATTCACCAAGCCACCCTGCTTCACTTCTTAGTTTATTGACAAGCACTTTGGTGCTAATCTGCTGTAAAGAATTTCTGCCCAGGGTCTGGGCTCCCCTGAGGAGTTTCCAGCAGAATCCTGGCTGAAGGGGAGGCGGGAGATCTTGGCAAAAACTGCTGTAGGGCAGACATGCTTTGTTTGGGGGCATAAATGTTACTCTTAAAGATTGTCCTGAATATGAGTGAGGGATGCTCCCCATCTTGACCTAGATAGTGGTTACACGGGGTAAGGGGTGGGGAATGGGGGTTCATCTGTAAAAACCCAATTATCTGTACATTGAAGACGAACGCACTTCACTATAGTAAGTTATGCCTCAGCAAAAGTCTTTGTAAAAATAAAATAATTCATGTTGTCTGCAGAAATGAGTTCCCACCTCCACTGGTACCCAGGACAGGTAGTGGCAGGACAGGACCAGGTCTGACGGTTTGTCCTTGATTCAAGAGAGCATTTTAGAGGGCAGTGGCTCCTGCAGCATCCATCCAAAGAGGTAGAGTCTCAGGAAGGACTAAGCCCTCCTGGGGGCCTCCCCAGCCTCACCACCTGACTCAAAGGGACTTTGATGTTTATGACACCGGGTCAGGTAGGCTCAGGAATCAGACTGCGAGGGCTCGAATCCAAGCTCTGCTATTTACGTCAGCTAAGGGCAGGGTTAGAGTTAGGCTCTGTGACCTTGGGCAAGCTATTCAATGCCTCCGAAGCCTCAGTTTTCTCCTCTGTATGACAAAGGGCATGATAAAGGTTTGCAGCTGTGAGGATTCAGTGAGATTGCTGCACTTTAGCGTTTAGCAGGTGCCAGGCTCTTTCATCTGAATATGCATCGGCTTTCTTGCTGGCCTCCCCACTTCTGTCTTTGCTCCCTCAACCCACACTGTAGGAAGCAGCCAGAGTGAGCTTTTATCACAGAATACAGTAATCCAGAGCCCTTACTATGGCATCAAAACCCCTATGTGATCGGCTACTGCCTCCTTCTCTAAGTTCATCTCATGCTGCTTTCCAGCTAGGTGATCCTTTCTGCCTCTCAAGCAAAATGAAACAAACAGATCAACAGCAACAATACAGCCAAGATTGGTCCCACCTCAGGCCCTTGCACTTGCTATTCCTGCTGTTTCTGGGCCCACTTGCCTCTTCCCTTTGCATGACTGATTCGTCCGCCTCCTTCTGGTCTCAGTCCAAATGCCATCTCCTCAGACAGGCCATGCTAAGGTAGCCTCCATCCCTACTCGCTGCCTATCAGATCCCTATTTTGTATTAGTGTTTTCTTTATACTAGTTACTGCCATCTGAAATCATATTATTATGTGTGTATTTAGTGGCCTTAAGTCTGGCCCCTACTTGGATCCAGCAAGATGGCAGGGACTTTGGCCACCTTATTGTATCCCTAGCAGTGCTTAGCCCAGAAAAGCTGCTCATAACTTCTGGTTGAATGAATGAAGACATTATCATAAGCTGACATTATTTTTGCCATCATCATCATCGAGTTTCATGACAATCACTTTTATAATACACCGTTTCCAAAGTATTTTCACATTTTTTTCCTATCTTAATGAAACCTGGGGAGGGTGGGATTTTTCCTCATTTCACCAACATGGAAACTGAGGTCGCAGGTCACTTAGTTTAGAAGTGGAGGAGACACAGTTCTTTACTTGTGCCATTAAGAGTAATCACAGGCTGGGCGCGGTGGCTCAGGCCTGCAATCCCCATACTTCGGGAGGCTGAGACGGGCAGATCGCTTGAGGCCAGGAGTTTGAGGGCAGCCTTGTCAACATGGAGAAACTCCGTCTCTATTAAAAATACAAAAAAATTTAGCTGAGCATGGTGGCACACGCCTGTAATCCCAGCTACTCGGGAGGCTGAGACACAAGAGTCGCTTGAACTTGGGAGGCGTAGGTCGTAGTGAGCCAAGATCACACTAGTGCACTCCAGCCTGGGCAGCAGAGTGAGACCCTGTCTCAGAAAAAAAAAAAAAAGAGTAATCACAGACAAAGGAGGTTTCTATCAAGTGCTTCCACCTCCCTTGGCCTTTTCTTTTCCCTGTTGTCTGATTTATTACAGCCAGAAAATAAAGGAACCAGATGCCTCCCTCCTCCTCATATTGTTTTGTAGTTCTTTTCCGGACCAGGTTTCTGTTAAGGGTTTGGCTGGTACCACTGTGACCACAGACTTCCTGTGTTTATCCCTTCACTTAGAAATCATAGTCAACTGGGCATTAAAGTCTGTGCTGGACACTGGATGACGCTAAGACACCAACACACAGCCAAATACCTGGGGGTCCCGTGGGGCCCAGAAGCCTAACACAGAAAGAGGCAGATCCAGGGTATCTTTTCCCTGGTTTCCACTATGCAGATGTTTTCCACCTTCAGAGCAACATCAAGATGAGTGAACAAGTCTCCAGTTTGCCTCCAGATGTTGGGACTGCGGTTGTGGAGCAAATTCCATACAGGGAGGTGGAATGGAGGCTCTCAGCCTTGCCTGCTGGCAGATGATAGCCTGGTGGATGGCAGGCAGTTTACAATACCTAGCCCACTGCCTGGGCACCAGTGCCTTACTGGGAAGGATTGACTTGTGATGGGATTTTAGGGATGGTGACAGGCAGCCAGAGGGAACTCCACATTGGTCAACCTATTTCATCCTTATCAGAAGCTTAAATGGTAAAACCACCTTGTCTTCAGAAACGAAGAAATGCTGGGTCAGCTGAAATTCGAGCCCTCACTGTCAGAGAAGCTAAGCAGAAACATCTTAGAGGTAGGGACAGGGGACAAATTTCAGACAAAGATCATGGTCAGGGCAAGCCTGCCAAGAAGGCTGCACATGAAGCCTCAGATCAGAAACCTGATGGAGTGGATGTATCCAGGCACATTCTACTACAACTTTGAAAACAGACCCATCCTCTCAGGTTGGAACACCACCTGGCTGTGCTACAAAATGAAAACAAAGAAGGACCCCTCAAAGCCCCCTTTGGACGCAAGGATCTTTGGAGGCCAGGTCTATTCCAAGCCTGAACACCACCCAGAGATGAGATTCGTAGATTGGTTCTGCAACTCGAGGCTGCATCGTGACCAGGACTACCTGGTCATCTGGTACATCTCCTGGAGTCCCTGCTCAGAGTATGCAGGGAACGTGGCAGAGTTCCTGGCCAAGGATGGCAAGGTCACCCTGACCATCTTCGTTGCCCACCTCTACTACTTCTGGGAAGCAGATTACCAAGAGGAGCTTCACAGATGGTGTCAGAAAAAACAGTCCACATGCCAGCATGAAGATCATGAACTATGATGAATTTCAACACTGTTGGGACAAATTTGTGTACAACCAAAGAATGCTATTTGATCCTTGGAAGCAACTGAATACAAATTATGCATTACTGCACAGCATGCTGGGGGAGATTCTCAGACACATTCACTTACAATTTTACCAATGATCCTTCAGTCTCTGGGCAGCACCAGACCTACCTGTGCTGCAAGGTGGAGTGCCAAAACAATGATGCCTGGGTCCCTCTGGACCAGCAACAAGGGCATCCTACCCAGCCAGGCTTTGAATAATCTCAGTTGCTATTAAGATTTCCATGCAGAGCAGTGCTTCCTGTACCTGATTTCCTTTTGGAAGCTGGACCGGGCTCAGTGCTACAGGGTCACCTGGTTCATCTCCTGGAGTCCCTGCTTCAGCTGTGCCCAGCAAGTGGCTACATTTCATTGGGAGAACAGATGTGTGAGCCTGCACATCTTCGCTGCATGCATCTATAATTATCTCCCAGGATATGAGGGGCTGTGCATGCTGCAGAGGGCTGGGACCCAAATCTCCATCATGACCTCCGGAAGTTTAGGCACTGCTGGGTCACCTTTGTGGACCACCAGGGATGTCCCTTCCAGCCCTGGGATGGACTAGATGAGCACAGTCAAGCCCTAAGTGGGAGGCTGCAGGCCATTCTCCAGAATCAGGAAAACCATAGGATGGACCTCAGACTCTAAAGAAGGCAGAAAACCTGTGTTGAGCAGCAGAATGGAAATCTTTCAAGAAATGCAAACAGGCCATTCACCACTATCTCTGGCTGAGCAGTGGACACTAGCAAAGCAATGAGCTCCTGACAAGTAGTTTTTTTTTTTTTTTTTTTTTTGAGACAGAGTCTCGCACTATTGTCTGGGCTGGAGTGCAGTGGCACAATCTTGGCTCACTGCAACCTCCGCCTCCCAGGTTCAAGTGACTCTCCTGCCTCAGCCTCCTGAGTAGCTGGGATTACAGGCGCCCGCCACCAAGCCTGGCTAATTTTTTTTTGTATTTTTAGTAGAGATGGGGTTTCACTATGTTGGCCAGGCCGGTCTCGAACACTTGACCTCATGATCCACCCACCTTGGCCTCCCAAAGTGCTGGGATTACAAGTGTGAGCCACTGTGCCTGGCTGACAAGTAGATTTTTAAAAAAATCAGAGTGAATTACTTTTAATCAAAAATTTATACCATGTTTCAAGGATACAGTAGTTAAGATTATGGTCAATACACACAGAAAGTTTTCAAATTTACTAATCCAGTGACCATTTGATTTTATATGTAGAAGAATAAAATGAAATACTAAATAAAAAAAAAACTTCTAAAATTTGGTGAAGACAAGGCTTGGCAACGCCAAAGAAACTTTTTTCTCCTTGAAACAGGGTCTGGCTCTATAGCCCAGGCTGGAGTGCAGTGGTGTGATCATGGCTCACTGCAGCCTCGAGCTCCTGGGCTCAAGTGCTGTCCCCACCTCAACCTCCTAAGTAGCTGGGACTACAGGTGTGCACCACCATGGCCAGCTAACCACAGAAACTTTCATCTGTTTATTCTTTCTTTAGGCACCATTAATACCTAAGGCAGGTAGAATGGGTCCCAGAAAGACACAATTGGTAGCGGCTGATTGTTGGCTTCGGTCATTGCCCATAGGTCAGCTGGTACAGGATGCCTTAAGGTGAAAAGGAGTGAGGGTGCATGAAGAATAATGAGCACAGGGAAGAGAGAAGCAGAGCAAAGTACCAGATAAAATACCGGCCAAGCACAGATGAATGTCTTCAAGGAGCTGTTATGTTTCTCTGCACAATGTAAATACCCTTGCTATTTCAGGATGGCGGCTGGCCTGCTCAGTAACACACATGTTCCAAATAAAGATTTTGCATGAAAGTAAAAAAAAAAAAAAAGAAAGAAACGAAGAAGTGAAGTTCAGTGGGAACAAGTAAGCTTCCCAGAACCACACAGAATCTACCCATTGATTTGTATTGAGGATTTACTATATGGCAGGCAATGTGCTAGGCTCTGGGGATACAGCTGCAGATGCCATCCTGACCTTCATGAATCTTGCAATGTATTGGCATGCAGCAGAGCTGAGATTTGAACCCACAGCTGTATAACTGTGTGGTTTATACTCTTTTACTACATATCCTTCCTGAGTTAAATAAGTTAGATACAGAGGAATTAGGACAGAGCAAAGGGAAAGACTTCATGTTATGAAGCCTTGAACTTGTCAGGAGTTAGAGAAGACTCACATTTTGGCTAGGGATTGCTGAGTTGAGATTGATTCTGGGTTTTATGACGCACCTGTCAATAACTGCTCTCCCATCCCTGAATTCTCAAAACAGAAAAGTGACCTAATCCAATAGCTTTTCCTTCCTTTGAAAAAGCAGTAAAAGATGATGCTGCTTAACCCAAGTGAATGGCATGCTAAAGGTGAAATTGCAGGAACTGAGGCAGGTTAAAGGATAAAGAAACAGGGAATAGGTGGAGGCTCCCTAGCTTCTTCCATTCTCCCTATAGGGACGATTGGTTTTGCAGGTTATTAGAATCTGAAATGTCCCCACTTTCTGATTCCTGAATTCCTTGGGCATTCTATCCTTTTATAAACCTCATTTCGGTCTGCTGGCCACAGAATCCTCACAGATATAGATAGATGTATGGAAACAGCTAGTTCAATCTTAACATGTCAGAGATAAAAAGCCCTATAATCAGTATTGTCAAGCCCATCCCAGGATCTCTGATGAAAAATTAGTCTCACAATACATTAGCAGTGAGACATGGCAAAAACTTGGACATGTCCATGCCCGGCTCCGGTTTCCCACTCCATGATGTGATCCTCCATTTCATTCAACTGCTCAGTCATCTTCTCATATTTTGGTTCAGACACATCAATCCCTGTAAACTTGAGAAGCACAGAAACAGAAAATCAGTATATCTTTAAAGGCTAGGAATATATATTACACGAATAAAAGTCTTGATACCCTATGCTATTTAACATTTATCTTAGGAATCACGGTTTAAAATAAACCAAGCAAAGTTTGAAAGAAATAAGATTATATCAGTTAGAATGCATTGGACTGCAAGTAACAGAGACCTCATTCAAAACGGTAGAATCTATAGGAAAAGTGCATTCATTTGCATACTAAGAATGCCTGGAGGTTGAGAACTCAGCAACTGAATATTGGCATCAAGGATCCAGAGTGTTTCCTTCTGTTTGCTCTGTCATCTTCAGAGGATTGGCTTTGTCCCCAAAATGACATATCTCCTGGTCAAAAGATGGCACTCACAGTATCAGATATTGCAGCTGCCCATGGCATCAAGTAGAAGAGCCATTGATTATCTCAGAGTGTTGCAAGGGAATCTGCCCCCGCCCCCAACCCCCTAGCAGAACTCCCCTCACACCTTTTTGGCCAGAACTGGGTCACATGGCTACTGCTAAACCAATCACTGATAAGGAAAGAAGATTGGTTTAGACCAATCAGGATCCACCCAGGGGACACAGGACAAAGAAGTGGACATTCAGACAAGATCAGGGTTTCATTTACATGGAAGAAGGGGAATGGGTTAGGGATAGGCACTGAGTGGTGTCTCCTACAGAAGAGACAGGAGACACTTTAAAAAATAATGACCAACCTGTTCAGGCCGGAGATTCACATTTTTGTTAGGAGAAAACATAAATTATTGGATCTGAGCAAAATTATGGTGTTTGGTGGGGTGGGCTCTCCTAAAAAGTAAGAACTTATTTCTCAGAAAATCAGAATGCCTTATCCCTTGAGAGTAATAATTTTTCTCTTTTTTTAATATTAGCTCATCATATTTGGCAAAAAATTTAGTATATATAAACCAGGAAAAAGAAAAAGAAAGTAAGAGAGAAAGAAAGAAAGGAGGGAGGGAGGGAGGAAGGAAGGAAGAGAAAGAGAGAAAGAGAAAGAAAGAAAGGGTAAGAAAGAAAGACAGAAAGGAAAAAGTGAAAGAAAGAAAAGAAAAGGAAAGAAAGAAAGAGAGGAGGAAGGGAGGGAGGGAGGAAGAAAGGAAAATAAAGAGAAAGAAAGAAAGGGTAAGAAAGAAAGAAAGAGAAAGTGAAAGAAAGGAAGATTGATTAAAGGAAAACTACCTGTGAACCCAGGAATAAGTACTATTATCATTTTAGTTTATAATCTAAAGTCTAGTTTATATGTCTGTATCTTTTAATAACTATCTAGTAAAAAAGATACTCTGTTCTATAACATTTTTATTTATGAACAGACACTTCTCAAAAGAAGACATTTATGCCCAAAAAACACATGAAAAAATGCTCATCATCACTGGCCATCAGAGAAATGCAAATCAAAACCACAATGAGCTACCATCTCACACCAGTTAGAATGGTGATCGTTAAAAAGTCAGGAAACAACAGGTGCTGGAGAGGATGTGGAGAAATAGGAACACTTTTACACTGTTGGTGGGACTGTAAACTAGTTCAACCATTGTGGAAGTTGGTGTTGCGATTCCTCAGGGATCTAGAACTAGAAATACCAGTTGACCCAGCCATCCCATTACTGGGCATATACCCAAAGGATTATAAATCATGCTGCTATAAAGACACATGCACGTGTATGTTTATTGTGGCACTATTCACAATAGCAAAGACTTGGAACCAACCCAAATGTCCAACAATGATAGACTGGATTAAGAAAATGTGGCACATATACACCATGGAATACTATGCAGCCATAAAAAATGATGAGTTCATGTCCTTTGTAGGGACATGGATGAAGCTGGAAACCATCATTCTCAGCAAACTGTCGCAAGGACAAAAAACCAAACACCGCATGTTCTCACTCATAGGTGGGAACTGAACAATGAGAACACATGGACACAGGAAGGGGAACATCACACCCTGGGGACTGTTGTGGGGTGGGGGGAGGGGGGAGGGATAGCATTAGGAGATATACCTAATGCTAAATGACGAGTTAATGGGTGCAGCACACCAGCATGGCACATGTATACATATGTAACAAACCTGCACGTTGTGCACATGTACCCTAAAACTTAAAGTATAATAATAATAAAATTAAAAAAAAATCAGTTCACTAAATGTTCCTCTATGCAGGTTTGGTTATTCAAGTGATTGCCTAGTAGACATAGAAGTTTTGCAATTTATCTGACCAATCCCCTACTGATGGACGCTTAGGTTAGTTCCTTTTTATTATTGTTTCTGTAATTTCTTGATGGGTTCTTGCTCCAGTACAGCTGAGTTTCTGAGGCCCCACACTTAAGCCCTAGGAAGCCAGCAGATTTAACTAACCCAGGCTTTCTGCACACTAGCCCGGCCTCTGGGTCCCTGCTTCCCTCTTAGAGCAGAGGGAAGAGCTCTTTGGAACCTTTAAGAAGAGGTCAGCCAGCTTGGAAAAGAGGGGATGGTAGGCAGGCAGTGATCACATGCACAGGCTCTGGAATCAAGCCACTATAATTGGGTAAATGATTCTCCCTCTTTGAACCTCAGTTTTCCCATTTGTAAGATTGGGAGTGTAATAACAAACATTTTGCAGGGTTGCATGAGGATTCTGCAAAATAGTCCATTTACAAAGCTTATCACATGGTCTGGAAAACTACGTGATTAAAAAGTTGCCAGCTCTATGGGAGGCCAAGGTGGGAGGATCACTTGAGCCCAGGAGTTTCAGACCAGCCTGGGCAATATAGGGAGACATTGTCTCCACAAAAAAAAAAAAAAAAAGAAAGAAAAAAAAGAAAAAAGAAAAAAAAAAGAAATTGCTAGCTCTCACTGTTGTAATGTTTTATTCTTTTTTTTTTCTTTCAAAACTGGAGCTACAAGATTGCATTTGCTTTGTTATCTCCGGGGGGCCATATCTAATCCAGGCCATTGATTCAGGAGGCTGCACAAATCTGCCTAAATTATGTATTGGGGTTGCATGTTTAATGCTTGCTTCAATTTGGTTGTGTGAAGAAAATGTATTTTATTTGTCTGTAGCTGATCTGGTCTTCTCTTCCCTCTCTGACACACACCCTATGTTGGCAAAAAAAAAAAAAAAGAAAGTTTAAAAAATTAAGCTATACCCCTGTTATGAGTTGAATTGTATCCCCTGTCTCCCAGTTTACATGTTAATAGCCTAACTCTCAATACATCACAGTGTGACTTTCTTTGGAGAGAGGGTCTTTACGGAAGGAATCAACTTAAAATTAGGCCATTGAGGTAAGCCCTGATTCCACTAGGACCGATGTTTTTATAAGAAGAGGATATTTTGGGCACAGACACGTACAGAGAGAAGATGGCATGACAAGACACAGAGAGAAGATGGCCACTTACAACTCAAGGATAGAGGTCTGGGACAGATCTCTTATAGGCCTCAGAAGGAACCAGTCCTGCTAGCAGCTTGATCTCAGACTTGCAGCCTGCAGAACTGTAACGATAAATTTCCATTGTTTAAGGCACCCGGTTTGTGGCACTTTGATTTGGCAGCCCTAGCAAACTGATACAACCAAGTTTTAAAATATTTGTCCTAATGATAGTTTTACAAGTTCCTGAGGCAAATCTTCTATGGATAAACATATGCATCCTCTCTGAAACTCTGCCCTCCTCAATTTTCTCCTGGGGAGGCTTTGGGCATATGGAAGGTGGGCATGATTTGATGGTCCTAGGAGAGTATGGAGGAGTGAGGAGCAACTAGGCTCCTCTGTTCTCCCCTGTGCTGCTTGCCATGCCACAGGTGGTAGAATACAATGGATGGAGGGAGCTTACTCTGGGCTTGGCCAACAAGCTTCCCTTGGGCTCCCCTATGTGTAAACCCTGTCATTCAAGGCACCCCTGCCTTACCCTTTGTCTTAGTCATTTTTCTGTTGCTATAACAGAATACCCAAGACTGGACAATTTATAATGAACAAAATTTTATCTAGCTCATGATTCTGGAGGCTGGGAAGTCGAACAGCATGGCATTGGCATCTGGCATGGGCCATCCCATGGTGGAAGGGCAGAAGGCAGAAGTGAACACAAAAGACAGACAGGCACCAGGGGCTGGACTGGCTTTATAATAACACCGCCTCTATAACTTATCTGCTCCATCAGTAAGGGCATGAATCCATTCACGAAAGCTCTACTCTCATGTCCCAATCATCTTTTATTAGATCCCACCTCCCAACACTGTTGGATTAAGTTTCCCACATATACACTTTTGGGGGACACATGAAGCCATAGCACCCTCCATCCAGCTTTGATTGAGATGATGTATCCCAGGAGGGTGGGCATGGTTGCTTGAAGGTCACCCAGACCTGTCCCATGGCTACCCTGCTGACTGTCAACCCCACATCCATGTCATGTGAAAACTGAGGGGCCCGAGAAAGCCAGGGAAGTGGGGATGTGATCCAGAGAGGCTCTTCTGCCCTCTGTGCACCTGGAACAAAGTGGGGAGAGGGAAAACCAAGCAAGCACAACTGGCCAGTCTGCTCTTCTGCTCCTGAATCCCCTCCCTCTTCTTCTTTCACTAGCCTGGGTTCTGGAAAAGGGTCAGCTTTTCTCTGTATTTCCCTTTGTAATATTCTCCTGTCATCTAAGGGTAAGCCCCAAAGTTATAGAAGGAAGGCAGTCAGTTCCTCGCTCTGGCAGGATCCAGAAGCCAATCCTTTCTGGCTTAGCTGTCATGTGTCAAAGGAAGAGAATAAAAGCTGGAACATCCTCCCTCAAGGCAATAGCCTGACTTCAGTTGATAACCTTGCTGCACAATTCTATTTTGCATGTCAGAAACAGAATATCACATCATTCTTTCTCTTACATAACAGATCCTATCTTCCTCCCATGCACATGAACTCTGGGGGCCAATTGGACAAGATCACCTACTTGAAACCCTAACCATACGAGTTCCTTCATAATTTCCAGAAGAGTCATCAGATACAATTTTTAAAAATTCTTTCTGCTATTCCCAACAGGCTTTGGATCTTAAATGCTAGAATAAAAAGCCAAAATGATCATTATTAAGATAATTACCAAAAATTCTTCAATCATTATTAACAATTATTCCACCTTTCACAGAGGAGGAAATGGAGGCTCAGAGAGGTGACATCGCCTGCTCAAGGTGGCCCAGCTGGTGAGATAACCCGAAGGACAGCATTGAACACAGCTTCATCTGACTTCCAGATGTTGATCATTGCACCACAAAGAACCTCATCCATGGACAGCCTGGTATTGCTGTACTCAGGTTCCTGTCCAGTTGCACACAATTTTTCTGCTCACTTATGTGGAGTTGCTTACTAGACTTCTGAGAACCTGGGGACTGGCCAGGGACAGAATTGGAAAATATCCATGGAAAGGGTGTGCTGGGTGTGATTCCCTAAGGTTCTTAATGCATTTGTAATAGGATTAGTGTTGCCTGGAATCCTGGGCATCTGTCCTCCTCTCCTGTGCTCCGTGTGTCCCTTGGGTCTGAGGATTGCCAGGAATTAATAACCCATCCGGGGCCTTTGGAGACTAAGAAAATAGATGCTCAAGCTCTTCCCCAAATGTCCTGTATGTGATGCTCTTTGTAGTGTGTCTCTGGATGGTACTTTCTGGCTTACATAGGGCTTCATCTGCCTGACTTCATCCCACTCTACAGGTTCACTGGGACAGGAGTGATGGGCTTCATTTTTAAAGATGAGGACCAGGTGCTCACAGAAGTCAAGCCATGTGCCCAAGCAACACAGCTAAGGGACAACCAGGCCCAGGACACTGTGGCTACCAAGCTACTTTGCTCAACACTGAACCCAGTGACCATGGGCATTTGGTTTCTACACTGTGTACCTCAGTTTCCTCATCTTCAAAATGAAGAGGCAGCACAGGGTCTGAAATGGGATGCTAGACCAGGAGGCAAGGACTTGTGCTTAAGTCCTGGGACTTAACCCTGTCCCAGGGTCTTTGTGCAATCTTGCAGAGGTCATTTTTCCTATCTGGATCTCAGCCTTCCCTTCTGAAAAGTATGGAAAGGGAAAGGGAAGGAGATGAGTTTTGACACCAGTGCAATTATTGGAAGTTAGCATGCAACAATCATCTACTATTCACCGAGTCCTCTTC
Organism: Homo sapiens; assembly: GCF_000001405.40. Classification (NCBI taxonomy): domain Eukaryota; kingdom Metazoa; phylum Chordata; class Mammalia; order Primates; family Hominidae; genus Homo; species Homo sapiens. The sequence goes on along the minus strand of NC_000012.12, from coordinate 108,272,755 downwards.
TTGGAGACTCACATTACTTCATTGACTCCTCCCCAAAACCTGGGAGGTGGGCGTGGTTGTGCATGTTTTACAGATGTGGAGACTCAACTTGGTGTGTTGCCAGATCCATACTCTTGGCCAGACAGCTTCTCGGGACTCTGATCTCTGACATTCCAAGATTCCAGGCAGAGGGGCCAATCCTGCCTCTCCCACTTTCTAGCTGTGTGACATTCTGGAAGGGTTGCTTGACTTCTCTGAGCCTCAGTTCTTTCATCTGCAAAATGGGTCCAATAGTGCCCACCTTGTGGAGCTACTGAGATAATTAGATGATACAGTACAGGTTGCACTGTCCAGCATATGGCAAATGGGGTCTCTTTGTCTTCTCCCACCCACATTCAGAAAATGCTTGAGAGGAGCCAGGCTAAGTGAGGGGGTCGAAGGATCTCCTCTCTCTCCAGCAAATCCTGCCTCCCCCTCCCCCAATTCTGTTCTGCTCCACCAGACTCAAGTTCCAGCAGCTGCAAGTAATTGGATTTAACTTAATAGTCTTATTGATGCCTTTTGGTTCAGGCAACGCAGAGGCCCCTGGGTAATTTGCACATTTTAAACAAACCAAATAAAGAGCTGATAAGCATAAACAAGTCCATTTTAATTGGATTAACGGGGGCTTGGCTTGGTGACCATAAAAACCACAGAGGGGCTGGAGAAAAAGGGCTCTTGGAGATTTCAGATTTTCTGCTTCTTTGGACTGCCCCTATCCACACCCTTTCCCCCACCCTGGGGCATTCTGCACAAGGCATTGGCTTCCTGCTGAATAAATTGTGCTCTATTGTATTCATGTCCATGTTTTACACAGACGCACATGAGATGGTGGTGTCTTTCCTCCACTCTCCCTCCCCACCTGCTATGTACAGTTTGACAAGTGGTTCTACCCACTGGCTTTGGTCTGAGATCAAAGGCCCAAGCCCTGACCCTGTCACTTTCCTGCTTATCTTGAGCAATTCATTTAATCCTCTGAACCTCAGTTTCCTCCATGGTGAAAAGGGATGGTACTGGTTTCTGCCCTGTAGGTTTGATGTGAGCATTACATGCTGGTAAGTTGCCCGCCACTTAATAGGTTCACCAAAATGGCAGCCACTAATAACATGAGCCAGTTGGAGCGGTCACAGCCCCTGCTCTCATGGGAGCCAAAATCTAGCTGACATCCCAGCTAAATAGAGACAGCCACCTGTAAGTGTAATACGTACTGAATGAAGACTCACCTAACCCAGCCAAAGGGGCCAGGATGGCTTCCCAGAGGAGGTGGCATTTAAAGAATGAATAGGAGCTGGCTAGAGTTGCACTTCCCAAACTAATGTGTGTGCAAGTCCCCTAGGGATCTTGTTAAAATGCAGTTTCTGACTCCAAGGATCTGAGGCAGGGCCTGAGATTCTGCACTTCTAACCAGCTCCCAGGTGATGCTGACTGGGCTTGTCCGAGGGCCATATCTTGAGTTAGTAGAAGTTAGCGAGTTGATGAAGCCAAGATTTGAGGCCAGCCAGCTTGCCCCCAAAGCTGGCCTTTTTAACTGTGCTCTGCCTCCTCAAGAGACCAGCAGGAGGATGGGGAACAGGTATCCTGAGGCATCTAGCAGGGCAGATGGGTCTCAGAAGCTTGTAGCCTGGGTGGGAAATTATATCAACATTTCCTTATTTTGTCTTACACTTCCATGACTGTTTTGCATTTGACAATGTGCTATATTTGAGCCTGTTCTTATGTAAAAATAACACTCCCCTCTCTGAATATATTTTTTCTTCTATATTCCAGTAAAATTCATGTCCCAAGCTGTGCCTTCCCACGTGGTCCGACATGGTCCCACATGGTCCATCCAGGGAGTGCTGGTCCTATGTGATCACTGGCCTGGGCAGCAATTCACAGATGCTTTTGAGGATGGAACTGTCTGACCTGGACTGCATCGTGGCCTGACTGCCAAGGCATATGTCCTGAAGTGTGGTGGGGTTTTGTTTACACACAAATTCTTATCTGAGGAAGGAAGTAAAAATCCTGGTATCATGCCTCCAATTGCATCAGAGCAGGGCAGTAGGGTGGAGTCTGGTCTGCAGAGACAGCCAGGCCTGGGTTCCAGAGCTGGTCTTGCTTTTTTCACAGCTGTGTGATCCTGAAGACATTATTCACCTCTCAGCCACAGTTTTCTCATCTGTCAAATGGGGCTTGTACTAGCACCCTGTCAAAAGCTGTTAAGAGCAAATGTTAATTTCTTGCTTTCTGGGGGCCCAATGTACTCAACTGTAAAATGGAAAAGTTGAGCTAGTCCAGGGGTTGACAAACTATATCCTGTGGACTGCAGCCTGTTTTTGTAGTTACAGTTTTAATGGCACATGGCCATGCTCCTTCATTTACATATTGTCTATGGCTGCTTTTGTGTTACAGAGACAGAGGTGATTAGTCATGACAGGCTTTATGGCCACAAGCCTAAAATATTTGCTATCTTACCTGTTACGTAAAAATATTTGATGTTCCCTGGGCTAGTCCAGTGAATTGCAAACTTTTATCAGCTGATATAGGGCACACTCTTGGTTGTCTACCTGTTGCATGTTGGATTTTTCAGATAAGTGGACTCTGAGATGGAATGTAGTGTCCAGGACATTTTTTTTTTTTTTTTAAGGGAGTGCCCTTGGATCAACACCTGTGGAAGGATGGGGAAGGAAGTGGAACCAGCCAGAGAGAGAAGTTGAGCTGTGATGCAGGCTCAATGACATTTTCAGCTGACTCCTTAGAGACATAGAATGCCTCTTTGGGAGTTGTCTTAAGTTGTGCTGTGTGTTCAGACCTTTTACCTTATATCAATTAGTCCTTCAATAAGGGCTGCCCCAGGAAGGGCATGACCTTGAAAGCTGAGGCAATCCCTGAATAACTGACAATTGAGCCCAAGGACTTCATTGAAAGGAGCAGTACATTTTAGAGTCCCCCACCTAGCCCCACAGCCACTCCCAGTCTATTCATTGTTGACAGAGCTCTGCTTTGTTTGATGACCAGCCCTAAGGGTTAAATTCTGACTCCCTGACTTGTTAAAGCCTTTCATCTTTCTCCCTTTCCCCTTTACCATCTTTTCCTTCTCAGTCTTCCTTAGAGCTAGCAGTGATCATGGGACCAATTCTGGCCAATAAGGTATAAGGAGAAGTCTGCAGTGATGGAGGAGATAGCCTGCAGAAATAGTGGTCCTGAAAAAGACACTTTGCTTTCTGACTAAAAGTGATAGGTTTGAAAGGGCAATTTGACTGACAACCCCTTTCCATTTTCTTCCTTCCTACATTTCTTCCAGATGTAGTCATTGATGCCTGGGGCTGTAGCAGCTCTATTGAGGCCATGAGGCAACATGAGTTCAAAGGATCATCACATTAGGATGGCAGAATGAAAACTAAATAAATAAATGAGAAAACAGATAAGGAAAAGTAAAGAGAAGAAAAGAAAATAAAAGAGAAAGGGTCTAGGCTATTCGTATCATTGTTGAATCATTGAATTAGGCCTGGAACCATTGATCTCCAGTCTTCTTGTTAAGTGAGATATTGTATTAAGTACTGTGAGTCAGATATTCTATTACTTATTGTCCAAAGCATTTCAAACTAATAGGGATTGTTTGGCCTTATGAAACCCTGCATGGAACCTTATATGTGAAGATGAAATCAGAGCTGTTGTAGTTAAAGCAAACCTGGAAGCTTAGACCTTCCCTCCTATACTTACCTCCCTTTGGGCACCTCCACAGATCTCTGGGGAATCCTGTTTTCAAACTGAGGATGGTGGTGTGTCAGTTACCTATTGCTGCAATGACGCTGTGTAACAATCACAAAATTTCAGTGCATACAGCAATAAGAGCTTGTTGCTCACCATCTGGGCTGGTTAACTAGAGAATGCTGCCGATCTTGGCTGGGGTCACTCATATGTCTGGTACACAGTTGATTGTTGGCTGATCTAGAATGGAATCAGCTTGGGCAGTTGGGTCACTAAGCTTTCCTCTCTAAGTCTCACCTTTCAGCAGAGGTAATAGACATGAAAGACAGCAGTCAAGCCTAATTAGGCAAGCACTTTTCTAGCCTCTGATGATATCATATTTGCTAACAGCCCAGTGACAAAGGCAGGCCACGTGGCCAAACCCACAGATGGAGTGGGAAATTACTGCAAAGTCACATGATGCAGGGTGTAAGGAGGATTAAGAAACTAGGACCATTTTTACAATGTAACACATGTGGTATCTGAGGATCCTCCTGATTTTAAATGTATGACCTTGAAAGGTCCACAGGAACCCCATTTTAAGGAAGTGGCTTTTTCCATTTCAATGATCAACCACATGGTTTAGCAGGTTAGTTCTTAGGGCATATGCTACAAAACACCTGGGCTTAAATACCTCAGACCAGCTAGATGTTGATCAGATACACCTGTGATGACAAATATGGCTACCTATAGTGGGGATTCAGTGGATTAGACCTATATCCATACATTTAAGAATTACACTAGGAGAACCAAGGAGCCTGTGGTTCCCACCCTAGTGTCCCTGAGTGGGGAGAGGGATGATTTGTAGCTCAGAAACATGAAGGGACTGTCAAAGACTCATGAAATCAGCCATATGAATAGTGGAACATAAGTTAAAGTTCCACTTGTTGCATGACACATGAATTTCATCAAGATTAAAAGAAAAGCACTGAGCATACTTATGTAACTAACTGAGGTTGGCACACCAATATGCTGCATTTGCCTATGTGGTGCTTGGTTCACCCTCCTGCGCTCAAGGATTTGTTTATTTGTGTGGCCACCCACACAGCTCTGTGCCACTGGATACACATGGTTTCCACTCTTCTTCAGATTTTCTTATCATGCTCACATGCAATTTCTTTCCTGGGAGCTGCCACCACTTGAAAGTTTGTCCAAATAACAGCCTATCTTCACCTAGTCAGTCTTTTCAGAAAACCATCAGCCTGTATGCATTTATGTGTCTTACTTTTGTTCATGTCTTTCTCTTTCTTCACCTGAATTAGAATCTCCAGAAGGGATAGATTGAAATTATAAGCATCCCAAAGGAAACAATGGTGCCTAGGCATAAAGGGTATTTCAGGACCACGGATAAAGCCCTTGACACAGTAGACACGGTATGTCTATCACACAGCCCATGGAGGACAAATCTGTTGCTTAATTTTCCTCTCTGTAGAGCACTGTTTCATCGGGAAATGGATAAGTGGTTAAGAGCTGGAGTCTGGGGTTAGCACGTCTCAGTGTCACTCCACCCCCTCTCACTACTACCTTCTTGACACAGCCTCTGTTTCCTCTTCAGTAAAATAAGAAAAATAAAAGTGTCTAACTCCTAGAGTTGTTGGGATTAAGTGGCATGGTAGGTTGAATTACTGGCTCTAATTCTTCATCCCTACTTGTTTTCATGCCATATGACATGGCAGTTCATTCTGCTGGAGTCAGGGTATATTTCCCCATTCCTTGATTTTGGGTTTGCCATGTGACTTGTTTAGCTAATGGGATATTAGCAGATGTGTTACAAGCAGAGGCTACAAATGTGCTTAGAAATTCTCTCCTGTGCTTTTGTCATTGTCATGAGCAAAGCTTCCCCCAGGTAGTAACTGCTTCTTCAGCTTGAACCCCAGAACCAACCTACATGGAAAAATTGGAGCTCAACCTTTAGTCTGCAGCATAAGACCTGAAGTCCAGCCTGGCCCTGCCATGTTGTAGCACACACTTAAACCTGCAAAATAAATGATTGCTGTTTTGAATCACCGACCTAGGATGGTTTGCAATGCAGAGTTATCAAGACAATAGCTGGCCAATACAAATAAGATAAAGCATGGACAACACTTAAAACAGTGCCTGCAAAAAGTAAATGCACCATAAATTTTGGCTTTCAGGGACATCATTATCAGGAGCAGACAGAAAGGTCAGTGGTGCATTACCAAGGTCTGTCTGTCCAACCTCAGGCAAGTTATTTAACCCACACTTGTTTTCACTTTCCTCATGTACAGAATGAAAACAAGAATACCTCTTCTGAGTATGTTTGAAATAATCAAAAAAGGTATGAACCTAAAACAGTTTTGGAAACTATAAGTTGTTCGACAATAAAGGCAATGTGGTCAGGTGTTCCTAGCACATCCAATGAGTTAGAAACAACACTCACATTATGAAATCAAGTTGAGAGACACAACCAGTGCCATAGGGAGCAACAGCCATTAGCTGAAATCAACAAGCTACTAGCTTTAATCCAATTTGTCAACAATACACCTTCTACTGATTTGCTGCCAATTCCCAAGTACAGCCTCTGGCCTCACCCAGAGGCATCCACCGGTGTGGTGTACTTTTAGCATCAGGAGAAGAACCAAATGGTTCCCAGCAATCTGCTGTAATGACTGAGAAAAAATGTTTTCATGAACACTGTTCTCTTGGGGTAAGGAGCTACCACCTGCAGGTCTCCTTGGAAAGGTAACTAAGTTACTAAGAATAGAGGCACATGAATAGTTATCCCTGTTTAAAACAGATTAGCAAGCTGTCCACCAACTGGGAGAGGGAATGAGGCAGAGGGTAGATGTGTTTTGATGGTAAGAATGAGGTAGGGTAGAGAGACAGAAAATACAAAGCATGAATCCATGCCAAGGAGAAGGGAATTGAGAGAATGGGAGAGGATGGGAGAAATGGACAGTAATGTTCTTTGGAAGCCACTGGCAATTAGGAGACCTTGATATGCCTGGGTTCACAAGAGCATGTGAAATTTAAACAAAGATCTCTTAAATAGACCAGAAAAAGCACAAATTAAAACAGAAAAATTGAGAAGTTGAACTTTGTTAAAATGAACATTTTTTGCCCTTCAAAAAATACTGTTAAGAAAATAAAAAGGGAAGCCATCGACTTGATGTAAATATGTATATTCAGTAAAGCTTGTTATCAGAATATGTAAATAATGCTTACAACTCATTAATAAGACAAACAACCAAATTAAAAAACAGGCAGAATATTTGAACAGACACTGCACTAAAGAAAATATAGAGATAGTAAGTAAACATGTGTAAAGATGTGCTGTATCATTCCTTATCAGAGAGATGCAAATACAAACCACAATGAAATGTCACTCAAACCCACTAGAATATCTGAAAGTAGAAAGACTGACAATTCCATGGCTAGGCATGGTAGCTCATGCCAGTAATCCTAGCTACTAGGTGGGAGAATCACTTGAGGCCAGGAGTTCAAGACTAGCCTAGGCAATATAGCAAGACCCTGTCTCTACACAAAAAGTAAAAATAAAAAATTAGCCAAGTATGGTGGCATAAACCTTATAGTCTCAGCTACTTGGGAGGCTGAGATGGGAGGATCACTTGAGTTCAGGAGTTCAAGGCTGCAGTGAGCTATGACTACACCACTGCACTCCAGTCTGGGCAACAGAGTGAGACTCTAAGAAACAAAACAAAACAAAACAAACAAAAAACCAACCGACAATAACAAGTGTTGGTGAGAATGTGAAGCAACTGAACTTTCATACATAGCTGGTGGGAATGCAAAATGGTACAGCCTCTTTGGGAAACAGTTTCTTTTTTAAAAAAAATAAAGTTAAACCTACACTTAATTTTTGACCCAGCAATTTCACTCATAGGTATTTACTCAACAGAATGAAAGCCTATGTCCATACAAAGACCTATATGTGAATGTTTATAGCAGCTATTCTAAACTGGAAATAACTCAAATTGCCAACAATTGGTGAATGGTCAAAAAAACTGTGGTATGTCCATATAGCAGGGCACGGTGTAGCAATGAAAAGGAATGAACCGCTCACACATGCAACAACATGGATAAGTCACAATAGCAGGAAGTCAACTGAAAGAAACAAGACTCATTGTATAATTCCATTCATATGAATTTCTCAAAAAGGCAAAACTGTAGTGATAGAAAGCAGATTGGTGGTGGCCAGGGGGTCATAAGGCAGAGGAAGGGAATCAACTGTCAATGTCAGGAAAGAACTTTTTGGGAAAATGGTAATGTTGTATAGCATGATAGTGATGGTGATTACGTGGCTGTATACGTGACTGTCAAAACTCGTCAAATCACATACCTGAAATTGGTAAACCTTGTTGTATGTGAAATATACTTTAATAAAGCTGACCAAAGAACATGACAAAAGAAAACACTAAGCCCATGGTACAGGATGTATTAATAGACAATACTGATTAAATGGCTTTGATAGGCTTGTCTCATTTTCTAGATTAGGAAACTGAGGGTCAAGAACATGAAATGACATTCCTAGGTCCACACCACTGGGAAGTGGCAGAGTCAAGACTTGAACCCAGGAAGGTGAGCTTGGAGCCCATCTGCTTTCCACAGGACCCCATTCAGGCCCTGAGACCAACCAGACTGCCATCCTGTGGCTTGAGAATTAGGTCAATTGTTGGGGAAAGACATAATCCTAACATTTGAGGGGCCCCTGGTTTCTCTTTAGAATTAGCTAACAATTACCAAATCCATGTATTTAATGAGGTGGAAAGCGGCCTATGATAACAATAATTAGCACTTAACCATCTCTCTCTGTAACACCAGCTTGCTTTAAAGGTATGTTTATTAATTAAACACTTTGCACAGAACTGGGAGGTGAGGGAAGGGTGGATGGTCGGCTTTCCAGGAAAGCCGACAAAGGCAAGGAATTGGGTGCGGTTTTTCCTAGGTCAGGCTCCTGCCAGTCTCAGCTTGGGGCCCTGTGGCCTTGGTTCACTCAGCCCATTGACATGCAGAGAGAAGGCACACAATCCTGCCGCCCCCTCTAAATCAGAGTTTTGACAACAGGGAATGTAGGTGTGAAATATTATGTGCCCTTGGGCAAGGCTCTTCCCCTCTTGGACCTCGTTTCTCTCAGTGAGTTGGTTCATGCGATTCCAAGTCCTGCATACACCCCTAGACTTCCCATTTCAAGGATGCACTGAATCCTTAGGGGATCACTCAGCCCACCACCTTGGGGTTACAGTGGGGAGGACTGAGACCTGGAGAAGGCAGGGCTTTGTTGGTATAGTATTTCTGAACAAAATCCAGTTCCATGATTAGAGAGGGGAATACATAGATTTTGGCTGAAGAAAGAGTTGCTGGAAAAGTCACACTATGGTTCAGTCCTCATGGAGCAGCCTGGATCTGGAGGCAGGGGACTGGATGCTTTTGTGGGGTGTGTTGGATAAGTGGAGGGAGGGTGCAGTGTGGAGTGACTGTGTGAGCCAAATAATTGCCAAGGGGTGAGTGAACATGCAAATAAATGAATGATGGATGAATAAATGAATCAATGAATGAATGATATTAGAGAGGCAACTAGATGTCAGTCTCTGTATGTTTCAGTCAGAATCCCAGGAGGAGATTAGGATAATCCAAGGAAGATTTTATTATGGATGGATGTTTATGAAATTGTCATCAGAGTGTGGGGGACCCTCAGGAGAGTGTGGTGACCTAGGAAACTGTTTCCACTTCCAGACTCAAAAGGAGGAAGGAAAGGGGCAGCTCCTGGAACTTGGAAGGAGAGAATGTGCAAAGAAGCAAAAGTAAGGGTGTGATCCAAGGCAGAGCCAGCCTACAGCTGCCCTGCAGGGAGGAGGCCAGAAGAATAAATTTCCTACCTCCCTCTGCTCCCGTCCCCAATCTCCTGCCAGCTCTCTTCTGACACAGCCCACACAGGTCAACCTCCTGAGAAGAAGGTAAGGAGGAGAGGCAGGGGAGTGGATTCAGAGGGGCATACAGACGTCATCCAGCCCCTTCCAGAAATTTTCTACAACTCGCAATTCTCTACTTCTGATCTCCATGCATACCCTTTTGAGGTACCTTGAAGCAAATAGTGAGTCAAACCAAGGGCGATCCCAGAACTGTGCCCCAGTTGCGGTGAGTCAGTTCTCCCCAAAGTTTCTCTACTTTTCCTCACCCAACATGACAGCTAATACTATTCAAAGATGCTACACCATGATCTCACATCCCATGTACTGTTTTTACAGTGGAATGTTGCCTTCCCCATCAAAGATAGAGTCTATGTCCCCTCCCTTCGAATCTGGGTGGGCTTGTGACTATGAGGAAATTATGCTCTGTGGCTTCTGAGGCTAGATCTATAAAATCAATACACTTGCCTGCCCCCTCTCTCAGGACACATGCCTTGGGATCCCTGACCACCAATAAGAAATGCTTCCATGAAGCCGCCATGCTGGAGAGACCACATGGGGATAGAGAGAGATGCCCAGGTGTTCCAACCCCTTGACATATGAGAGATGAGCAGTCAGAAGATTCTCGTTGCCAGCCAATGCCCAGTGGAACAGGGATGAGCTGTTCTTGTGCAGACTACACATCCATAAACAAATAAAGGGCACAGGTTCTGATGCTGACAGCCTGGGCGTGAATCTCTATTCCTCTGTGTGACTTTTGGGCAAGTGACTTCACCTCCATGAGTTTCAATTTCCCCATGTGCAAAATGCCATAGAATTGTGAAGGTTAATTGAGTTCGTCTATGTAAAGTGTTTAGCAGAGTGCCTGAACTGGTTCAATTTTTGTTTAATGTCAGCAATTCTTTACTCATCATAGCCACTGGTTTTGCTTCAAGCAAGTTCTTCCCATTATCAGTGTCCCAATCTCACTGTGATAAATAAAGGGTTTGAAGCCAGTGGTTTGCAAGCTCCCTTCTGGCTTTGGTTCTCTAGCTCTGGGACTAATTTACATACTCACCTGCTTGGGGGAAGGGAATTAGACCCCAGGCCATACACTACCTCCCAGCAGTCCCACACCAACCAGAGTTTGCAGTGCACAATCTGTACCACCATATACTGAGGACCTGTCTTCTAGATTACAGATCAAGAAAGCCCTGTTCAGAGTGATCCGGAGGGTTCTACCTCTGGGGCAGAAACCTTTATCCTCCCTCTTCAAAGCCCTGCCTTTCTTCCTGAGAGACCAGGCACTATCCTCCCCAGGGCAACCACTTATTGTCAACTGCAGATTTCTGGCCTCATAAACTTAATAAGAGGCAGAAGGAAGATTGAAGCTATGTATAGATCATAGAGAGTAAAATACCATCGGTTTCGGGCTTCTCCAGTATAATGTTCACAAGCCAGCTGATCATGGGGCCACATGTAATCTATAAATATGTTCTGTTTGACCAACATTGTGTTTTAAATGATAAAAAGGTAAGAGATTTTACCTAAAAGTTTCTTGAAAAAATTGGAAGCTCTGGAAACTGTAGCTTATGTAGGAATAATTGACTAAAGCTAAGTTGTAGCCATCTCCTTCATGGGATGTAAATTCTCCTATACAGCTCTACCATCTCCCTTCCTCACCTTTGTGTTGTAGGGTCACAAATTATATAAAAACACAACAATACTGGATTTTATATTTACTTATGTATTTACCTTTATCAGAGTTCATTAATCCTTCATGGCCTTGTGTTACTGTCTACTGTTTTTTCATTTCAGCCTGAATGTATCCCTTTAGCATTTGTTGTAGGGCAGATCTACTAGCAAGGAACTCCCTCAGCTTTTGTTTATCTAGGAATGTCTCCATTTCTCCTTTATTTTTGAAGGATAGTTTTGCAGGATATAGAATTCTTTGTTGGCAGTTTTATTTTTCTCTCAGGGCTTTTAATGTCTCACTGCCCTCTGGCTTTCATGATTTCTGTTGAGAAATTGGCTGTTAATCTTATTGAGGATTCCTTGTATGGGACAAATCACTTCTCTTTTACTGTTTGCAAGGTTCTCTTTGTTTTTGTTTTTTGGCCATTTGATTATAATATATCTCAAAGTGAATGTCCTTGAGTTTATTCTACTAAGAGTTTATTGAGCTTTTGGATGTATAGATTCATGTATTTATTCAAATTTGTGAAGTGTTGAACTGTTATTTTTTCAACTATTCTTTATATCCCTTTATCTTTCTCTCCTTCCTCAGGAACTCCTATATGCATATGTTGTTATTCTTGATAGTGTCCTATGTTCCTTAGGCTCTGTTCACTTTTCTTTATTCTTTTTCCTTTCTGTTCCTCAGACCAGATCATTCTAATTTTTCCATCTTCTGGCTCACTGATTCTTTGTTTCTGCCTGCTCAAATCAGCTACTGAACCCCTTTAGTGAGTTTTGATTTCAGTTATTTTACCTTACAGGTCTAGAATTTCTATTTGGTTTCTTTTTATAGTTTCAATATTGTTTCTGATATTCTCATTTTATTCATACATCATTTTCCTGATTTACTTTAGTTATTTGTTCATGGTTTCCTTTAATTGCTCAGATATATTTGGAACCATTTATTTAAGGTTATTGTCAAGTTACTCCAACGTCTGGGCTTTCTCAGGGATGATTTCTGTTAATTTATTTATTTTTCCCTTTGACTAAGTCATACTTTCCCATTCTTTTGCATGCCTTGTGAAAGCTGGTTGTGTTGAGTATTATATAGTGGTAACTCTGGATATCATGTTTTCCCTGCTCCCAGGATTTACTGTTGTTGATTGTTGGAGGCTGCAACTGTTCATTTGTTTAGTAACTTTTCCAAATTATTTTCGCAAAGTCTGTATTCCTTGTCATGTGTGGTCAGTGAAGTCTCTGTTCCACCATCTCAGTGGTTAGACAGTGACCCAACAAAGATTTCCTTAAATAGTGAAATTCAGCTTCTCTTTTCTTCATTAAGCGTTCCCTTGGTTGTTGTAAGTTTTGGATTAAATTCCCAAGTTCCAAAACGTTTATTCTTTCAGTCTTTACCACCTTATGGTTGTTTTAGTGGAGAGACTAATTCTTTTAATTCCCTACTCTATACTTTTCTGTGATGTCACTGAAACAGATGATATCCTGTTCCCACCACTCCCTATTGGTTCTTTGATATAGAGTTAGCTGCCATTTAGTACTGTGCCGGCATATTTTTCTTGTAGTAGAGAAGTACATTTCTCTATATGTCTTTATCAAAAGTGAGAATTGAAAAAAGGCTATGAGAACCCCATGTTTCATGAAAATTACAGGGGTAGAATATATTTCTTTGTGGAAATGAGAAGTATTCTTTTGTGTTCAGTATGTGAAATTACTTCACACTTAACTCACTTGTGGTACACATCTGTCTCCTCTTGCCATGTGAATTTGAGATCCTCTACTGATGGTCTGGTAGTTTCTTTAGTTGGAAAGTAAGAAAAAGTTATTTCTGTTCTATCGAGACAATGTCAGGTGAAACCTACTCTGGATATTAGCTACTAATAAGGACTTGGGGATGACTCTGATGTGGTCTTCTAGTGGAAGATACACCAGAGAGCCTACCGGTGATTTGTTTCTCCCTTTATCTCTTGCCAATCTGTCCTTCCTTTGACCTTTGGCCTCAGGGTTCCCCAGAGTCACCAAATTTCATTTCTGGGAATTTACTCTGTGTCTGACATAAATCATGTCAAACAGGTTAATGAAAGTGGAGTAGATTCCATACCCAATAAAAACTGCTTTGAGACCAGGCCTGCTCCTCAGGCATAAGGGTGGTAGCTCTTGCTTACTGACCACCTACTGTATTTCAGGTGCTTCATAAACACAAGCTTATTCCATTCTCCCAATAGCTCTGTGAGATAGGTACCATTACTTCTACTTTACAGAAGAGAAAATTGAGACTCAGGGAGTTTCATATTTGGTGGAGGTGAGACTTAAACCCAGCAAGAACCTCAGAAACTTTGTGTCCATAGTACTATGTGCTGTAATATTTCACCTGGTGCTCTAAATTGCACCTGTCAGCCCACTTCCAATTTCAGTTGTGGCTGGCATAGATCAATTTTGCAAGGCTTCCCATTCACTCCCTCTTTTGTTTCTCACCTCAAGCAAATGCCACACACCCTACTTTTGGCCCTTGGCTTCTCTAGTGTCATGAACTTTGGTTGTATCTTGCTTGGGCTCATGCAAGGGGAGTTATTAGCCCCAGGGACAACCCTCAACTAGTAAAAGTGGAGAGTTGATGAACATATACTCCCAACTCCTTCTGGCAGTTGATCCTGGGAGGCACTCTATATACTTCTTAGGAGATCCTAGTGGAATCACACCCTCACGACCCAAAGTCATGACTTGATAATGCAGTACACATTGGTCTTTGTCTTTCTTGTCTCACTTCTCCTGCTCCCTAGGGCCATCTCTCAATTAAACAACCTATACACAAATCCTTGCCACAGGCTCTGCTTTCAAAGGACCCCAAGCAAAGACAGGCAACATACTTAGATTTCTTGAATCAAGATTTTTTCCATGGATGAATATTGAAGTTTGAATAGGTGAAAGTGGGAAATATATCTGTACAATTATAAGGTGAGGTTTTGCACGAATCCACCACACTGGACATGTCCACATGGGTTTTTCTGGCTTCTTCAAGGTAGTCCCTATGACAGGTTTCCCCACTTGACATTACTGAGAGAAGTTCATACCCTGTAGGGCTAGTTTATAAACTACACAGAGGAAAAAAGCCTCATGACCACACTGTTGTGCCAGGTTTTCAGCTGACAAAGCACTTCATGGCTTAATCATGTCCTTGACCCCTCAAGTTAGCCAATGGCAGACACTTCTCTGAGCTATTACAAGCTGATTTCCTAATTTGTAAAATCTTCCATGACAACACTAACAATAATAGCGATGATAATAAAGATAATAATACTGTCGCCTTTTTTTTTCCCCTGTGTATATAGCACGGTGACTAACACAACACTCCCATAAGTTAAACTCCATGATGACCTCCATTTTAGAGATGACAGAACTAAGGCTCTCTGACATTTGACAGTTGGTCCTAGGTCACACAGCTGAGTCTAAATGTAAATCAGGTTTGTCTGACACTGGAGGTGTTCCATCCCCCACTCCTCACCTTTATTTATTATATTACACCAGCGCTTGTCAAAGTCGACACTGTTGACATTTTGTGTCAGATCACACTTCATTGTGGTGGGTTGTTCTGTGCATTGGAGTACATTGAGCAGCATCATTGCCCTCTACCCATTAGATGACGTCAGCAACTCCCCCTTCCCCTGGTTATGAAAACCAAAAATTTCTCCAGACATTGCTGAATATCCCCTGGGGTGAAAAATCATTTCTGCTTGAGAACCACCATTAGAGATTAGGATTTTGCACTTGGTTTTGATTAAAGATAGGGTTCCACTGCCCTAATTTGGAAACCACTGGATTCGTTGATTTTTAATTTCCTAATTTCGGTCCCAAGGGGTCCAAATGTTCCTTAAAACTATACATAAAACTTTGCGTGCGTGCATGTGTATATGTGCTTGCACTCATTTTTCTGGAGAAACAACTCATGGTTTTCATTAGATTTTTAAGGGGGTCTGAGAATTCCTCTTCCTCTCCCAGCCCCTTCCCAGTTGGATGATATGACTTTTGAGATTTTAAGTCCCTTTTCTCTTTTTTTTCTGCCTCCTCTCAAATTTCCCTCCTCCATTGTTGTAACAAAAGGGTCTTGGGCTATGGTTTCTTCTCCAGTGTAAGTCATTCCTGGAGAAGAAACTGCCACCCTGCCTCCATGGGCTGGGGGCTGTGGTGGTGGAAGCGAGGAGGAAAGAATTTCTAGGGAACCACTGAGCTGTGGAATAAGAGATTATTGCTTGGCAGTTGCCATGGGAACCTATAAACCAACTGTGCAGCTAAGAACCCAAAGGCGTCTGTACCACCAGCTCCCAGCCTGCTTCCCTTGTGGTGGCCTGATCTTCATCTCACCTCACCCCACGGGTCCTCAGCCCCAGAAAGGCTAGCACTTTGCTACCAGAACCCTCACTGCTGCCTTGCAAGACTCACCCTGTCTTCTTGACTCTGGACACACATGGCCCCCGCCAGGATGCAGTATAGTGGTTAAATATATGGACTCTGAAACTAGACTCCCTGGGTTCAAAGTCCATTATTTCCAAGCTGTGTGACCTTGGGAAAATAACTTCACCTTTTTGAGCCTTGGTTTCCCCGACTGAAAAATAGGGGCAATAAGAATCCCTGCCCCCCAGGGATACTTCAATGATGTTACATATGTGAAGCTCCCATCATAGTGCTCAGCACAGAGTTATTATTCAATAAATATTAGCTACTATCATCACTGTAGTTTCTTGTTTCCCTTTCTCCTTGGCCAATCTCTGGGCAGGCCAGATCCTTCTACCCACTGACTCAAAGATTTATGAGGCCAACAGATTGGTAGATGGTGTTAAATATAATTAATGTATTCATTCTTTCATCAGCTGAACATTTGCACATCATATAGTCTGTGCCAGGAGGCACAATGGGAATCCAGAAATGAAGATTTTGTTTCATCATAATGAAGCTCATATCCTTGTAAGACACACACACACACACACACACACACACACACACACACACACACTAGATTACTAAACTAAATGGCTATGTCCAGAGCTGTGATTAGGGAGGTTAGAGGAGGAATCAAATCTGGTCTCTGTAGTCAGGGGAAGCTGCCTGGAAGAGGAGGAGGCTGAGAGAAGTTATAAGGAGGCCAAGGCATCAGTCACATAAAGGCTTTCAAGTGGAGGAGACAGTATGAATGAAGACATGGAAAAGAAAAGAAATAGCATGGTACGTGCCTGTGTGCTTTGGGCAGTGGTGTGCTGGTAAATACTTAACTGTTTAAACCTCCAAAAAAGAAGAAGAAGGAGAAGCAGAAGGAGGAGAAGGAGAAGGAGAAGAGAGAAGAGAAAGAAGGAAGGAAGAAAGGAAGGAAGGAAGAAATGAAAAGAAAAACCTGATTTGTAGCATTTGCCAATTTCCATGGTGTATATTCCTACCATGGCCAATTTTAAACTACCCATGGGATGCCACTGAATGTGAGTTTGGGAAGAGATATGTTGGCTGTTGAGGGCTGGGCTGGTGGACTGCACCACACCATTGGCTTTGGGGGTCCAAGATGGGGTTGGGACAATAAAAAACAATTCTATATTACTAGAGGTAATATTCAGGGCAGCTAAAGGACTAGGTCAGGCCTGGTCTGGCAAGTGGCTTGTGGCTTTTATTTCAATATCCTTTAATATTCCTTGATTCACTTATTCAGAAAATCAATAGACATCTCCATAGCACTTACTATGTGCCAGGTACTATGCTAACTATAGGAATACATAGATCAAAATGCATGAAGAGCCATGGATGCACGGATAATATCAACAATGCTTTGTGCTCTGTTGTCATAGCAGTGCCTACATTGGGGCCAGTAGTTATCAAGAGGTCCATTGTAAACACACCTTTGCCTCACAGCAAGTCTACAGGATCATTGTAACCCACCCTCCTGGTGCACCATCTCTTATTGCAGGGTTGCCTGTACTTGGGAAGCTTTGGGAAACACAAAAGGACTTCCTGTCCCCATATTTTAGAAAATCTGATTCAGGAGGTCTGGGATAATAACTAGGCATTCCAAGTTCTGGAAGCCCAGGTAATTACGGTAACAGTTTAGGTACCTAACTTATGTCTCAGAAAGGAATTTCCCTTCCTCCCTCTTGTCTCCCACTTTGAAAGGACACGCAAAAGTCTTGTCGCCATCAAGTGCTATACCCTCTGTCTCACCCCTGGCTGACTGTTCATTTCTCCATAATTGTTCAGCAAATGACTCCAGAATACACAAAAATCATTTTGCTGCAACACATTCCATTCCGTAATGACTGCTCATTTCAATTAGCTGTCAGAGGCCTGAAATAGAGCTGCCCAGCCCTGCTTGGATAAATCACCACCTTTGTTTGAAATTGGATTTAAGGCAACCGGGGCAGAGCGGGTGGGGTGAGGGGATAAATATTTTATCATTTCTTCCTCCTCAGTGCTCTGCCAGTTTGTTCTCATTCTCGTGTTCCTCCCTGTGTTCACCGGCAGATTGCTGACTGTAAATTCGAGGGGCAATAGTAAACCTGCAAACATGATAAACAAACATGTAGCTTTTGCGAGGACGGATATTATTATCATCCAGATTTACAGCTCTCCGCACCTACCCGTTTTATTGCTTTTTGGGAAAGCTGAGCTAGGTTTCTGTGTTACATTGATCAACTTTCTGCCCTCCGCCCCCTGACATCTACTCTGAGTCATTTAAATATCAACATGGACTGGGGATACAATTCGTCTCTCTGGAAGTGAATGTGTCTTGACAGGTGTTTTCTTTGGGGACAGTTATTTATAACCACCAAAGCTATCATACAGTGGGGCGCCTTTGTCTCCTCTCATTGCTCTAAAAGTGAACATATTTTTGTTTTCCCAGTGGGAAGAAATGCAAGATCAATGATGTAAATCTCTCTTTCTCTGCTTCTTTCTCCCTGTCCTTTCTCTCTCTCTGTCCTTTCTCTGCCTCTGTCTCTTTCTCTCTCTCTCTCTCTGCATCTTCTGCCCTCTTCTGTCCCCTCCACCCTCTGGACAGGCCTTGGATCGTCCCCAGGTTCAAATCCAAGTGCTGCCACCAACTTTTGTGTCTCTTGAGCAAATCATTTAACTGCTCAGAGTTCAGCAATTTAAAACTATACATGTTCCCTCTCCCATGTTCCTCGTTGCCTATTTATAAGAGAGAATTGAATGAGATATTTCTGTCATCCCTATACCTTCCCTCCCCGCACCCCCAGCTTAGGTGGTGAACTCTCGGGGACAGGGAGCCATGCCAACTCAACCTCTTTTCTCCCTTTCTCCCTGGCTCCTCTGCTCCCTCCCTGGAGCTGCTCAGGCCAGAACCTTGGGGTCCTCTTTGTCTTGTCATCTCCCCATCCCCACATCCAGTGTGTCACCGTGTCCTGCAGATTCTTCCCCAGCTCTCTCCACACTCTGTGCCTCTCTCTGACCCCAAAGCCCCACACTTCTCATATTTTTGAGTGCCCCCAAAGTGCCAGGCACTGATCTGGTCTCTGAGCACTGTCCCCTCTCATGAGGAGCACATAGCAGTTTCTTTACTGTTTTAAGGCTTGTCCCCCCCCCCCGCCCCCCCATCCTCTCTCTCTCTCTCTCTCTCTCTCTTTCTCTCTTACTGTAATAGCTAAGGGCTGGGGCAGTGGAGCGCGTGCCTGCAGATTCTGTTGCTAAGGAAACCACTTCCTTGGTTACCAGCCTGGGTAGCATTTGTCTCACTATGTCTGGATCCTGCTGAGTCGCCCCCACTCTTCAGGAAGAGGATGAGGAGATGGGAGAGGACAACAGGGGTGGGGGAAGGGAGGGGTAGAGAGAGGCAGAGAGCTCAGAGATCAAAAGGTAGAGATGGAGAGATTTTGCACAGGCAGAAACAAAAATCAAGGAAGAGAGAAAGGGAGAGAGAGAAAGGGGGGGAAGGAAGAGGAGAAGAGAGAAGAGAAGGAGGGGCAGAAAGACAGGAAAGAAAAGAGATTTAATGAGCAGCTGGAGGAAATCAGAGACCACAAAGAGGGGAATTGAGAACAGGAGGCTGGGTAAAGAAAAACAGAGAGAGAAAAGGGGGAGGGATGAGGTGACAAAACAATGAAGGAGAGAAAGGGGAAGGAAGGGTGCTGGGCCTCCGGAGGAGGCTGGGTCCCTGAGGATCTGCTCCCAGCATCCTTTTTGCCTCCCCCTCTGCCCACTCCCACGTTTTCCACTGGGATGTGTGTGCAGCCTCTTCTGGGGTTGTAGGAGAATCCAGAAGAAATCCCCCAAATCAGCAGATTCTGAGCCCTGGTCTTTCTCCTGAGTCCTGGAGCCACAGTGAGCCCCAGGCAGCAGCAGGAGGAGAGTCCAGGTGCCCTGGTTTCCAGGCCAGGCATGGACCCTACATCGGGGAATGCTTGGATCCAAAGCTTTCCTTCTTCTTTGGGTGCAAGGGCCTTGTCACTCTCTGTATGTGGAAAGGACTTTTAGGCCCTTGGAGGAGACAGCAGTGGCCCCAGCTCTGCTATGGCAACCTAGGCTTTCTGGGTTTTGGGGAATGCACTGTGAACAAGTATCCACTTGTGACTGTTGCACGTTGAGTTTTTGCTGTTTCGAAAAAGTTCCAGGAAGAAGCTCAGCCCTGGAAAATCAAAACCCAGTTGGATCCACAGATGCCTGAGTTGGAGATGAACTTTGGCGAACTCTCCTCATTACCATACTAACCCCACACCCTGCCCAATCCCAGGGAAGAACTTATTGGCCATTTTCTATGCATGCGACATATGTGGAAGGATGATCCTTGACTGCACATTTGCGGCTTTGACCCCACCTCTGCATACAATGGCTCAGCTCACCAGCTCAATACGAGCCCTGTGTTCACTGTTGTTCAGGGAAGCACTGCTTTGGGAACCATCTCTAGTGTCCTACTTACTCGTGACAAATAATAAAATCCCCCTGTTAAATCCTCCTTGGTTGTAGTCACCCGCCAAACAATTGAACCCACCGGTTGTGTGGGTAACACTATTAGTTTCTGTGTGGCTTGGGCCAGCCACTGCCTGCCTCTTAGCAATGATGCCCCCCTCTAAAATGGAGTTAATGATCTCTGTTGTAACAACCTCATGGGGTTTGTCAGGAGCCACTCGAGTCCTTTTCCTTCTTTGACTCACAGTCTTCTCCGTGAAAGCTTTCTGATCACTTTGAGATACCTGCTTAGTACTGGTAAAACGTACATTGCTGGAGCATAGATTTGTGTCTGTCTTATTACTTTTTTAGTTCCTAGAATTGAGAGCATTGCCTGGCACATGGTAGATGCTCAGTAAATATGTGCTGAATGAATGAATGAATGAATGCTACCTTGGTTCTTTCTGGGTCTGAAATACAAAGATCTTATTCCAGATGGCTGATGAAGTGTGATAGGAAGGGCAGAAATTAGCCGAAGAAGAGGCTGGTAAACTGTCCAGCCCCACCTATGGCCTAAAGGGCTTTCGCGCCACCCCCTCCCACCCGACAGTGATCTGTGGTTGGGGGCAGGTGGAAAGCAGGGAGTTGCATAAGGCACATAATCTGAGAGTTCTAAGAAGGACCCGTGAGAGCTTGGGGCTAGAAGCTGCATGGCTTCCTGCACTTCCAGTTGGGAGGATTTGGTCGCATGGATAATATTTAGAAAAGTGAAAGAAAACTGGCACATTGGTTCAGGGCTCAGCCTGTGACCTAAGTCAAGGCTTGATCTGAGATCAGGGGCAGGACCAGGCTCAGGGCTTGGAGTGACCAAGATCATGACTTCTGCAGGGCCAGGACTGGGGCTCCCCCTGTGACCAGAATCAGAGCTCAGTCCGTGACAGAGATTAGGGCTCAGTCAGGAGACACTATCAGCATTAGTTCTGGGGCAGGTCAGGGCTCAGTCTGTGACCCAGGTTGGAGTGTAGTCAATGACTAGGGTGAAGGCTCAGTAGAAGTAGTTTGGGACTCAGTCCAATGTGATTCAGTCAATGTGGGGCTGGAATGAGGGGTTGTGGATCAGTATGTGCACAGGATTAGGGCTCAGTCTGTGATCAGGATCAGGGCTTAACTTTGACTCAGGTTCAAGGCTCTAGGATTGGGCTCAGTCTGTGACCAGGTCAGACTTGGTTTAATACTGGGGACAGAGTGTAGCCTGGGCCCCAGATCAGAGCTCAATCAGTCATCACAGAATGACTTTTGTGAGCCAAGATGAACCCGTAGAGAAAGGCCCTGTTCTTCTGGATTCTGGAACAAACTCACACCCTTTCTGAGATCTTCCTCTCCCCTCCCCACCACAGTCACCCCAGCACTCTCAGTCCTCCTGAGCTCTCCGTGCTTGGGGGAGGAGAAGCCCCTCTCTCTTTCCTCTGCCTGGCCCAGCTCCTACCCCGCTTGCTGTCCATGTGGCAGTATATAACACTTTGCCTCTCCCTTTGGCTGGGAAACAGCCCCTGGACATCAGCACCGCCTCACAGAAGCCCCTCTGATGCATGAGGAGGAAGAACACAGGGTCTTCCTTCAGCGGTATGTGGAGGTTTAGAAACACTCATCCCCACCCACCAGGGAACAGAGCAGACTTCTCTGTCCTCCTGGACTCTCACTGACTTCCCTGCTGCATATGGCTGTGCAAAGCATGATGCTCAGGGTCTGTCTCTGTGTCTCTGTTGCTCTCTCTCTCTCTCTCTGTCTCTCTCTCTCTTGCTTACATACACACACTCTCTCTCTTACAAACATACACAGAAGGGATGCCTCTCATAGATAACCTCTTCCATACCTGTGCACATACTCAGGTAGGAACACTTCCACCACACTCTAGTGACCTCATCCCACCCACCACTTCTCCCCACATACCCTCCCTGTCACAGCAGCCAAGGACAAAAGGTATATGCAGAAGATGTGCCCCCCCTCCAAAATAGACAGGCAGCTTCTCACACATGGATTTCATGCACACTGACCATTTCCTCCTTTACACGGGTGCAATTCCATACACAAGGACCTGCACAGACTCATTACAAATAAGATGGTCATACCGGCAACTTGTGGGATACAGTTTCAAAACATAGAAAGGCAGGAGAACACAAAGGCAATTTTACACACAGAGGCACGTAATTCTCCCTGAGCAGCTATGCCAGAGTCACACAGGCACAAAGCAGTTATACACCAACCCGCCTGCCACCCCGAACATTTTCTGTCTATCTCTGTTTCTTGTCTCTCTCTCTGTCTCTCTATGCCTCTCTGCCTCTCTCTGTCTCTGTTGTCTCTCTCTCTCTCTCTCATACACACACACACACACACACACACACACTAGGAAAACATCCCATTTGTGAACCTGTCTTACACAACACTCTACCACATGGTAGAATCATCAACAAAACTCGCATTTAATGATGGTGTTGACCTGAGGAATCTTCAGGCAGAAGCTTGTGGTCAGAGGGGACCACCAGCAAAGAACTGACCCAGGTCTTGGACCAAGAGTCTCCCAGAGAGAGTCAACCTCCCAGTAGAAGGGAGGCCAACCCCTCCACTGCTTCATGAAAGAAGACTAAAAATTCTCCTGGGGGAAAGAAACACGGTACAAAATACATTCAGAGCCCCCTGGGTGGGCCTGGGGCAGCCCAAATCCTACAGATGAGGGAATTGGGGAAGTGTGCCACAGGTCTAATCCCTGTGCCCTTGCTTTGCATGGCCAGGTTCCAAGGGGCGGAATGTATTAATCATATTCCTCTTACAAAAATATATCTCTTTACACGCACCTTCTCCATGGTCTCTTTGCTACTTGGGAATGAGCATTTACCTGCACTCCAAGGCTTCAGAGGGACTGCCTAGGGAGGCTACTCCAATAGAATAGCAAAGAGGCTATGACCTATGGCTTTTTCATCTACATAATGATGGATGGTGCAGGTTTGGACTGGGTGGGAAGCTACTGGTATCCAGGGTTGGGGAAGAGATGGGACTCTGGACCAACACTTTGTAAGATTGATGCTCCGTGATTTAGGTCCTCAGAAATCCTTCGGTTTGGCATTTCAGCATCAAGAGAGCAGTGTTTGTATAGAAATGACACAATTTCATTCACCCCATTCCTTAAAGGGCCCCCAAGGGAAGCTGGCCCTGTTGGACTATGATCAAGGGGAGATATATGGTCTGGGAAGGTAGTGGGGGTCCATTTTGGGTGTGGTTCCATCTGATTAAGAACACTCTTGCTGTCTCACCTGGATAGCAAAGGACCCATTTGTAGGGGTCAGAAGGGCAGTGTAAGACTGACTGGAGCCCACCATGGAGAGATGTGTCACTGGGGCTCTCTCTTAAGTCAAATTCTGCACATGGCATGTGACCATCCTCGTGGGCTCACTGTTGGTGCCTGAGGTTCCTTGAAGGTGGTATCAGGATCTCAAGGTCACCTCCTGGACACAGCATGGATAGAAAGGGGCAGGGTTCATGCCCTGGAGGTGGAAAGGCAAGCAGCTCATTTCTGAGAAGCAGTGTGGCCTGGGGGGCTCATAACACCAATGGCCCCACATGGTGTCTCCAATTAACCTACTGTGAGCACCATTACCTCCCCACACTATCCAGGATGTCAGAAACCTAAGGCCACGGAGAAACTTCCCAGCAATCTTTCTTTAGAACAGAAGGTGGCCTGAGTTAAACATCGGTGCCAGCACTTCTTGGGTGGAGATGAGAAGGGGGCTGCGAAATCTCAGCCCAGAAGGGACAAGCATCTGGGGCCAAGTTTTTACAATAGCCCCCTGGGCTCTTGCATCAAGAGCCTTGACAATTGCCATGGGGCATCCAGCAAGTCTCCATGATGTGGATGAGCCCTCCCTCCCACAAATGGAACCCAGAGTGGTGGGGGCAGGGACCCAGGAGACAGAAAAGAGTCCATGTAACTAGAACCCCCTAAACAAGATGCCCCACATTGCCAAGGGGGGAACATGTGAGCAGAGTGGTAGTGCCTGGGCAATCTCTTCCCTTGAGCCTCCTCTGTCATGCAGGAAACTCATTGAAGGCAAAGAGCAGCCAAGGGGATTGTCCCCAGACCAAAGAGAGGACAGATGAGTGGGGGTAACCAGGGGTCTTGAGTCCCCAGGGCCTGCGTGGTCAGGACTCCCAGTCTACCCTCCCCCTGTGTGGACGCATCATCTTGGGTAGTAGTCATCGGGGACACCCGTTAGGTTCCGCCCTTTGAGGGCTGCATCCACCATCTTGATGTAGGCAGAGATGGTCTTCTGCATGTCCGCAGTATAGGGGTCATACTCGAGCTTCCGGAGCCCTGAGCGCTTGAAGTTGCCATCCTTCTGGCTCTCCACACAGAGCAGCCGGTCCTCCCTGACAGCCACGCCCAGCAGGCTGACCATCCGGCCCAGCTGGACAAAGAGGTCCTGCTTCAGGTCCTCAAAGTGCACCACCAGCACCTTCTTGCCAAACTTGAGCCAGTCCAGTGTGTGAGTGGCCCACCACGGGGCATAGTTCCTCACGAACTCTGGCCACTCTGCAGAGAGAGGAGAAAGGACACAGTCAGAGGGAGGAGGAGTTTGAAAGACCCAGTCAGATGGTGCTGGCAGTGGTTACCATTATTCACAGCACAACACGGTAACACAATTAACAATTAACTGTAATAATACAGGCCAGGTGAGGTGGCTCACACCTATAATCCCAGCACTTTGGGAGGCCAAGGCTGGAGGACAGCTTGAGGCCAGGAGTTAAAGACCAGCCTGGGCAACATAGCAAGACCCTGTCTCTACAAAAAATAAAATAAAATAGCTGGGCATGGAGGTGCATGCTTGCAGTCCTTGTTACTCAGGAGGCTGAGGTGGGAGGATTGTTTGAGCCCAGGAGGTCGAGGCTGCAGTGAGCTATGATGATGCCACTGCACTTCAGCCTGGGTGACAGAGCAAGACCCTGCCTCTAAAAAACAAAAAGAATAACAACTTAGCTCAATTCACTCCTTTTAGAGCTCTAAACACACCCCGATACTTCTCACCTCAATGCTGTTTCTCCCTGGAATATTCTTGACCACCACCTTCTCTTTGGGGATAACAATGTTACTTGTTTGGTGATTACTATATGCCAGGCAAACCCCATGTATAAGTATGTGTTACTGTAATATAATATACAACATATTATTATGTTATATATTATTTATGTTAATATATATTGTGTATTTTAGATTACATACTTATATATTAATAAATATATTAATATAGCTTTTAATTCTACTTAATCTTCACAACAACCTTAAGAGGTATCACCATTATCTCCATTTAACAGAAGAGAAAACCGAGGCACAGAGAGGTTAAGTAATTTGCTCAAGGTCATATAGCTAATAACTGGCAGAGCCAGGATTTGAACCTAAGCAGTCTGGCTTCAAAGTCTGGGCTTTTAAGTACTAAGTTTTTCTGTGTAGTAGTGGTATCTCCTCACAGGATAATAATGGAGCTCTTGTACAAAGTAGAAAAAACATATAACAAAGTTTCTAGCATGGCACGTTGAGTTCAGCAGGTGCTCAATCAATGTTGGCTATCGTTATTACTGATATTATTCTGTTTTCAGGTCATCTTCTTAGACTCCCTGGGCTCAGGCGGGTGCCTCCTCTGGGTTTCACAATTCCTCTCTCCGTCCCCTGCAGCCCCCCACAGCACTCATTATGCTGTGCAGAAACCCCCCACTTCTGTAGTCTGTCTCCCCAGCAGACGGTAAGCTATCTGAGGGCAGGGTTTAAGTGGGACTATTTTTATCATCATCTTCACACATTTCTTTCCTACCTTTCTTCATTTTTCATGGAAGTGTCATGGTGAAATGACAGGATGGATTGTCATGCAAACTTGGAGGGTGAATTTGGGACTGTCTGACTTGAAAGACAGGTTATAGAGAACCTGGGGATTCCATGGGGAGAGGCAGTCAGTTCCTGGAGCTGCTGAAACTCCCGCAGAAGGAGGAGCTGGGGAAAGTGCAGAAGGGGAACCTGGATGGCGTTGGGAACAGAGAAGAGGAATCACAGCCTCAATTCTGAGCCCCAGCTGGAGAATCAGAGGGCAGGAGCTCCAAAACCATGAACTGAGACCTGCTGCTTCTCACAAGGACAAACACTACCCGGTGCCTGCCAGAGCAGGCAACAGAAGAACTCTGTTTATTGAACGAGGGTGGTGAGTCCCCCAGGCTGCACTGGGGAGCCCAGCTGCTTCTTAAAAATTAAGTCCTAGTCCCTTGCTGGGTGATGGATACCCATTATCTTATTTAATCCTGCTGACTACCCTGAAAGGAAAAGGACTACTGTCTGCTCCTCACCAGGGAGGAAACTGAGGCTCAGAGAGGTGAAGTGACTTGTTCATGGCCACACAGCCAGGAAGGACCGTCCAGATCAGGCCTGCCTGGTTCCAGGATGGATCTTTCCCAGGCACCAGCAGCCTCATCACCACTTCCTCCCACTGCCTGTACTCAGCAGGTGCTCAGTGAACGGTTGTTGAACTAAATTGAAATTTGCAACTGCCAAATTGCAGTGTGGCGAAGGCCTCCCTTTCTTTGCAGAACACATCAGAATCTGTGGCAAGACTCCTTCCCCACCAAGTCCCCTGGAACATCACAGCTGTTTGGGAGATATTTATGCTGCTGACAAGGATATTTTTTATCCTTAAAATAGATTATTTATAATGTATCTGGCTAATTGGGCCCGTACTGTTATAATGGGTTAAGACCAGATGTATCTGAGTAATTAGGAAAAATTGAGCATGTTGTATGCTCTGTTTTCCTTTTTCAGAATTTCCCCACTCCTGCATCACCTCACAGCATCACTGGTGATTCAGAACAGCTGCTACTCTCAGGGGAGATGCCCAGGTGATAGAGACGGTGCTTGTCACCCAGCACCCAGCAACAACACAGATCCAAACTTCTAGGCTTGGCCACCTCTCACTATCTCAAGTGGTTGCTGAAAGAGGGCTGCAGGATGGCTCAAGAAAAAGGAAGGAGTCTCTCAGGTAGCTCCAGGTATCCCAGTCTTAGATGCAGGTGGGATGGAGATGACAGAGTGTCCTTGTTGACTGCAAACTTCTGTGGGACACCAGGTGCCTCTGTCTGAGGGGCAGGAAGGGAATGTATGTTGCCTGAGCATTTCTTGGGCGTTGGGAGCTATGTGGGGCACTCTGCATGCATGATCTCATTCTGTGCTCTCAAGTAGCCTAGAGAGTAGGAATTCTTAATACTGGCTCCATTTTAGACACAGGGAAAAGGAGTCTCAGAAGCAGGAGCAACTTGCCCAAGTCTACACAACGGGCATTGAAGGCAGAGTTCCAACCCACACCTATCCCAGACTGAGCCCAATGGAAAACAGTGTGGAGATTTCTCAAGAACTAAAAATAGAAGTACCATTCAATTCAGCAATCCCACTACTGGGTATCTACCCAAAGAGAAAGAAATTGTTACATAAAAACACACCTGCACACATGTTTAGTGCAGCACTATTCATAATAGCAAAGATATGGAATCAACCTCAGTGGAGGACTGGATAAAGAAAATGTGGTACATATACATGTTTGTGCATGCATATATAAAATATTGATTTTATATATTTACTTATATATATTAAGAAACCTGCACTTGTACATCCTAAATATATAAAAATAAATAAATTTTTAAAAAGAAAAAATAGAGCACCTGGTCTGATCAGCTCCTGCCCTCTTTTCACTCCAGGACCAGGGAAGCATGACTTCTAGGCTGCCTACTGCTCACTTTACCTTCAGGCTGTTGTCTGAGACCTGGGGTCTGTTTATAGATGATTCTGCAGTCAGACTGCTGGGGTTCAGGACCCAGCTCCTCCCCACATGAGGTATGTGACTTTGGAGACATTACTCGATCTTCAGCCTCAGTGCACCCATCTGCAAAGTGGTGATCTGGATAAGACCTACCTCCTACAGATGCTGTGCAAATCGAGCGAAATAAGATTTGCAAAGATCCTGGTACGGCTCCTGGGACAAGCAAGGTGCTCAATAAATACTGGTTAGTGTTATGATTGTCCACGATGCTATTTGTCCTCCTGTATCTCCTGACTCTCCACATGCTCCATCATTTTAGTCCAAACATCCCTCCAAAAGCACAATAGATATCCAAGCTGTTTCAGCAGCAGATGTTTGTCCACCTGGCCCCCTCCTATGGCAATGCTTCCTCTCTTGAAACTCTCAAATTACTTCATTGGAAAGAAGAAGAAGAAAAATTAAAAACCAAAGCCCTCGTTTAACTCAGGATTCCTGATCATTGATTGCTGTCTGCAAACTGGGCAATAAAGCCATGGAACATTGGTAATGAGTTCTGGTTCCACCGGAACTGTCATACAGGTGTGCCTGGCGGGGCACAGGCTGGCCAGCCTCCCCTCCATCTTCTTGTTGATGGAAAGAACTGGGGCCTGATTAATAGTTTAACTGTACTTAATTCCCCATGGAATGATTAAACACAGTATCTGTTTCATTAAACAGATCCAGGACAATTCACCTTGTATAATCATATCACATAAAATTTTGCTGTGAACTCACTCTAGGGAGATTGTAAAATTAACTCTATGGAACCAAAAGCAGAGTGGGGGTGGTGGTTCTAGGAGTCTGGACTGAGCTGTAATTGGGAGGGTGACAAGGGCATGGTGGGGTGGACACACTCAATAGCTAGGTGACCTTGGCTCTTACAGGGTGATCTTCACATTCTGTCACCGAGGGCATCCAAAAGCAGCACTTCTCAAACCTTAAAGTGCACATGAAGTATCTGGGGAAATCTTGTTAAAGTGCAGATTCTGATCCAGGAAGCCTGGGATAGGGCCTGACATTTGCTTGCCTAAAAATCTCCCAGGTGATGTCCATGTTGCTGGTCCACAGGCCACATTTTGAGTAGCAGGGACTTATAGCAATGGTTCTTAAACTAGGGTGCTCATCGGTATCACCTGGAGGGTTTTGTTAAAACACAGATTGTGGCTGGGCGCGGTGGCTCACGCCTGTAATCCCAGCACTTCGGGAGGCAGAGGCAGGTGGATCACGAGGTCAGATTGAGACCATCCTGGCTAACACGGTGAAACCCTGTCTCTACTAAAAATACAAAAAATTAGCCAGGTGTGGTGCTGGGCACCTGTAGTCCCAGCTACTTGGGAGGCTGAGGCAGGAGAACAGCGTGAACCCGGGAAGCAGAGGTTGCAGTGAGCCGAGATCACACCACTGCACTCCAGCCTGGGCAACAGAGTGAGACTTTGTCTCAAAACAAAACAAAACAAAAACAAAAAACCACACACACAGATTTCTGGAGCCCCACTCCCAGAATTTCTGATTCAGTGGGTTTTAGCATTTCCAACAAGCTCCCAAGGGATGCTGATGCCACTGATTCAGGACCTTAAAGCAAGGGTCTCAAACTCAAGTGTCTCCAGGGGCCAGATGGTGAATGCAAAGGGGAAGAATGGGCTGAGTGGAGACTGGGGGTTCTGTTCTTTAAGGAAGTCTCTCTACCAGAGCCCTTGCATGCCTGGGTCAGGCCTTGGAGGGGGCACTTGGAGAAGATCCCTTCTCCCATCTCAGACTCATATGGGACCCCAGGCCCCCAATATGAGATGAGTGTGGTGGATCCCCTTATCCCATACTCCCTGCAGCCTCTCCGTTCAGCCTGTTCTGACTCTTTCCTTAGTATTGGTTTAGAGCTCCCAGCTGTTTTGAATAAGGAAAAAGAGTGGGGCCTGTCGGTGTTGGGGAGGGAGAGCATCAGGAAGAATAGCTAATGCATGCTGGGCTTAATATCTAGGGGATGGGTTGATCTGTGCAGCAAACCACCACGGCACACGTTTACCTATGTAACTAAACTGCACATCCTGCAAACGTAACTCAGAACTTAAAATAAAAGTTGAAAAAAAATATACTGATGTCCAGGCTCCACCCAGTAATAGTCCAGGGTGCAGCCTGGGCACTGGGGTTTTCCCACTCTCCTCTAGGGACCGTAAGGAGCAGCCAGCACAGAGGCCCACCGAGGTCACTGATCTCCCAGGTCTTTTCCAGCTTTGACAAGCAGAGTCTGTGCTCTTAGGACAGGCTACTACCATTTGCACATATGGATATCTCAGCCTGGTGACCAGTTTTGCTTTTGATTGACTGTTCTACCAATAAATAATTCAGAGGCCTCTCTACCCCTGGGAATAACTGGACAAATGTCACCACCTATCCAAGCTTCCACCCCCTCACTGAGAAGAGGAGTGAGGCAGAGGGAGGAACAGAAAAACCGCCTTGAGTGAATTGGGACCTGAGGGGCAGGCCCAAGGGTTTTAATCAACGAAGTCAGTGTTGAGGGTGTTATGGGTGAATTGCTGAGTTACGTCATCCTGCCCTGCTCTGTTCCTCTCTGGGGAGGGGCTGGAGTACTGGAGCAGCCTGGTTCCTGGAGGCTGGATGAGCTGGGGACAACTCACATTTGCAGAGCGCCTGCTATGTGTCGGGGGCTCTGGACTGGGTGATTCATAGCCACCAATGGTTCATCTAATCCATTATCACAGCGCAGTGCTGAAGAGCGTGGGCTCTGGAGCAAGATTCCCTGAGTTCAAATCCCAGCTCTACCACTTTATGGAAAAACTTCTCCCAACCCCAGCTTTATTAAGATCTAATTAATATACAAAATACTGCACATAATATCTACAATTTAGTGACTTTGGTTATATGGATACACTCATGTTACCATCACCATAATCCAGGTAATAAACATTTCCATCACTTCTGGAAGTTTCCTTTAGTCTGTTTTCTTTGTTCGTTTTTGTGTGTAGTAAAAAACACTTAACATGAGATCTATCCTCTCACCAAAACCTTAAGTAAAGAATACCTTCTTGTTAATTAGAGGCACTATGTTGTACAGCAGGACTGTGGAATTTACTCATCTTGTATAACTGTAACTTTATACTCATTGAACAACAACCCCCTATATCCCCCTTACCCTGGAAAAGCTCCTTAACCTCCCTGGACCTAGGTTATCCCATCTATCAAATGGGGCGATTATGGTGGGGATTTAAGAAGTTAGCCTTTTCCGAAGCCCTCAGTAGATGTGACTTTCATTATGGTGGTGGAGATCATCCTATAATGGATATGGGACTTTGAGGCTGAGAACGGTTAAGAATACTCAAGATGGCAGAAGTTGGGTCTGACTTCAAAGCTCTGGCCACTGCCCTGGGTGGCTGCTCTGCATTGAAATGTTGATCCACACAGCCCTCTGTCACCTAGTAAGTGCCAGAGCTGAATCTCAAACCCAGGTCATCTTAGTACGTTCCATGCTTGGGGCTCAATGCTGTCATTTCCCAGCTGTGTGATGCAGGGCAAGTCACTTAACCTCTCTGAGCCTCGCCACCCAGAGTTCCTGGGAGTGTTCATTGAAATGATGCCCTGTACCTGTGCTCTCAGGACCTTGTGGCAACACAGGCACTGACCTGGGGCTGGATTCAGGTCTCTCGACTCCCAGGGTGGGGCTCTTTAACCTGCTTCCATCAATCCCACATCGATTTCATGAGCATCTCCAGTGCCATGAAAGTCACACCTACTGAGTGTTTGTAAAATTCTTAAAGCCTCACAGTTTTATAATCTTCACTTTATAGATGGGGCCATGTAAGTTCAGGGAGGTTAATGAGCCCTTATGGGAGGTGGTAGAGCTGAGATCTGAACCCAAAGAGTCTTTCTCCCAAGCCCATGATTTTAATCCCCTGTGCGATGCAGCAGCCCGGCTCACAGAAGGTGCTGCTTGTGGGAGGTGGGGGGTTGTGGGAGGCACCTACTCTACTGGAAGCAAGGACTGGAGCATGACACGCGCCCTCCAGGATGTCCTCCAGGGTTCCTCGCATGAGGCATTGCCTCCTGCTGGTCACGCTGGTCCGGAGCACGGGACCCTCCCACCGCCCCCTGCAGCCCGAAGCCCCTCCCCTCCCCTCCCCTCCTCTCCCGAGCTGTACCTTTGCCCTTCCAGTGGGCATGCGCAGCAAAGCCTATGTGGCCGCCGTACTTGCGGTTGAACTCAGCCATGAGGGCTTTGTAGGGGTTGCGGATGAGCAGGATGGCGGCGTCGAAGGCCTCGATCTCTTTCTGGCCGCTTTCGTGCGTCTTGATGCAGATGGTCCGTCCGCTGCGCCAGTGGTCCCGCTCACCTTTAAACCCTTCCCGCAGCCAGAGGTGAGGAACAGGACTGGTGAGCTGGGGAAGCAAGAAGCCCACCCCACTCTCTTCTGGGCCACCTCGGGAATCCTCATGCATTTGTTCACTCAGTCATTCGCGTATTTATTGAGCACCTACTATGTGCCAGGCACTGTGCTAGGACCCCGGGATTAAAATGACTTACAAAAACATTCACGGGTCTTCAAAAATATTCACGAGTCTTCCTGTTTTTGAGAGTTAGATTATTCAAATAGTGAACACAAATAAATGTAAAACCACTGCCCTGGTGAGTGTTACAAAAGGGCAGTATTAATGCTTGGGTGCTAGCTAGGCACAGTGGCTCACGCCTGTAATCCCAGCACTTTGGGAGGCCAAGGTGGGAGGATAGCTTGCTCCCAGGAGTTCGAAACCAGCCTGGGCAACATAGTGAGACCCCATTCTCTACAATAAAAAATTAAAAAAAAATTAGCCAGGCATGGTGGCATGCACCTGTAGTCCCAGCCACTTGGGGGGCTGAAGCGGGAGGATTGCTTGAGCTAGAAGGTTGAGGCTGCAGTGAGCTATGATCATGCCACTGCAGTCCAGCCTGGATGACAGAGTGAGACCCTGTCTCTTGACAAAAAAAGAAAAGAAGAGAAAAGGCTTGGGTGCTGTGAGAGGGGCCAGACAGTGATATACTGGGTGATTGCTCTTTGTGGGGAGTCAGCGTCCCTACCCTACTGATGATGGGCATGGCCATGTGACTTCCTGTGGCCCATAGAATGAGGGCGGAAGTAGGTCTTTAGCACAGTCTCAAGACACATCATATGTTTCTGCTTACTCTCCATGAGGGAGCTCTGCTATCACCATGAAAGGACATGCCCTGGGGGTGGGGGATGGGGGATTGGTCCCAGATGATGACAGACACATAGAATAGACATGGTCCTAACCTGCAGCCTGGAGGTGGGCAGCCCAGTCAGCTCAACCAAAATCACTGACCTAGTCAAGTGGCATCCAGAAAGGTTTCCTGGGGGAAGAGATGCTTAAGCATAGAACTGAAAAATGAGGAGAAACTTACTAGCTCAAGAGAGCTGGGAAGGGAGGGCCAGGTGCTGGGAAACGTAGGTGCAAAGGGCCTGTGGTGGGTGGGAAGAAATCTGTCACATATGAGTGACTGCAGAGAGAATGCAGGTAGCAAGAGGGGAGCATGGGGCTGGAGAGGTTTGTGGGGTCTGTGATGAAGAGGCCAGCACTAGACCAGAAAGACTGGAGAACCCTTAAGAGGATTTAAGCAAAAAAGAGGGGCATGATCAGATTTTCCTTTCAAAAGCTGAGGAGCTGAGAGAAGTTCTGTGCAGCTGGAGACTAGTCTAAGCCCTTTACATATATTAAGCAATCCAATCCTCTCAACAATTCTATGAGGAATTTTACAGATGAGGAAACTGAGGCAGAGATGTCCAATAACTCGCCCAGGTTACAGAGCTATGGAACAGGCAGAGCCGAAATACAAACCTGGGCTCTGGGCACACATGTGTCCTTCACCCTCTAAGTGCCCCTTAGCTCATGCAAGCTAAGGCATTTGGATATGGTATTAAGGCCAGGTAGAAATGTTATTGTAGTAAGCCTTCAAGATACTGGCTGTGTTTACAACCCAATGAGTCATTCTGGATATCATGTCACCTCTCTGGGCCTCAGTTTTCCTCATCTGTAAAATGGGTCCATGCACTTTCTCCCTCACAAGGCCATTGTGAGAAGTCAATGAAGCCCACAGTAACACTTCAATAAATGGCAGCTAATGCAGAATAAGACTTAGGGTGAAATCATGGACTGAGAAGTCGCCCCGTATCATCAAACCTTGGAGTATGGCTTCTTCCCTCCCTGTTGTGCTCTGGCTTTTAAGATGGATGGAGGTGAAGACTGGCTTGATATCTGCTCCTGTTCCTGGAGACAGGGGTCCATAGAGGTGCAGCCTTTCTCACATGGCCACTGAGCAGAAGAGCCAAGAATGGAATGTGATTTCTTCAGTCAGGTTCCATTCTGGGACTTGCCAAGTTAAGTTGCCTGGGATAAGCCTAGCTTTGCAAATTAGCACTGGCCCGTGCCCATGAGAAAATATTAACCCACAGCCTTTGAGGTCAATGGGAAGCACAGTGTCATGGAAAAAATCTCCTCCAGAGGAGAATGAGGAATAGGATGTGGGAGCTTGAGAGAGAGAGACAGCTTCAGACATAAACATTTATGCAAGGCAACCCTGGATATAATTTCGTGTCATGTATTCTGGTAGAGCTCTGCATGACATGGACAAAGGGCTTTCCATCCATGGTTTCATTTTATCTTTACCAAAATCTATTTCACTATAAGCACAGCAATGGAAAACACAGGCAGGGGGTATACCAGAACTCACACAGATTCTTAACAAGGAAAATAAATTGCCAGAAACATGGAAGGATGGTCAAACTATTTTCAATCAGCTCCATGCATTGGGAGACCCAAGTTACAATATTTCTATTTGTTCATGATGGGGTCAATTTAGCACAGTATTTATCAAGATTAAAAACAAACAAAAACAAAAAACCTAGAAAAGCTATAAAGATTGGGAAAGATCTGTTTCATATTCCAGATTCTGGTTGCCTGAGGAGTTTATCTATAGGAGTACTGCAAATGTAGAGAAAATTCCATTTAGCAGAATGTCTCCCAGAGAGGGAAGAGTACTATGTCTGGAAAGGAACTTTTGAGAAGGCACATAGAATAGGTTTGCCTGAGGAACAACAGATAGTTGCTCAATTGTCTTCTAAAGAGGGCCTGTCTAGGTAACTGCAAGGGAATCATGGATGCAAGCTTTGAGCCAGAGCGGAATTGCCGGACTCCACCACTAGGGTGTCCCCCTCTCCACTGTCCTTAACACCCAGGATCCAGCATCTCCATGACGTAAACATGATATATTTAAATCCTATCTTTTAAGAGTCACCAAAATATCAGCTTATCTTGGGCACCCATGTGACCCTCAAACTCTAAGGAGCTGCCCAACTGTCCCAGGATTTGGAGAAACAATCTTGTTCAGGGCCACAGAGAGAACAAGACATGTTTTTCCCTTCTCTCTTCCAAACCTCTGTTACTATAGTTGCTCGTGCATTTTTCAGTTAGGGGAGCTAAGGAACAGAGAAGGGAAGTGGCAGATACTGCACATCTCTGCATGCCCTAGAGTTTACTGGGACAGGAAAGTCCCATCTTGGCTCCAGGCATGGACACCCCTGAAGGCTGGTGGTTCTCCAGGACACTGGGATTTGTTTTGAGGACAAGGAAATCCTCAGAAATTGTTGTCCTGCATCAGCTGGGCTGAGAGGCTGCCAACTCTGTAGGCTGATGTACCAGTCTGAGAACATCATCCTGCCCTTCCCTCTTCTGTCTCCCCTCCTTCAGAAGTCAGGGCTCTGGCTCCTCACATACCGCAGAGCTTGAGTCTGCATTAGGACAATGAGGTCTCTGAGATGGGGAGAGGCAGGGAGAGGGGGGATGAAGCCCAGGGAAAGGGGAACAGTGAGAGAGAAAGACACAGTTACCTGGAGAGAGGGAGGGACTGAGACAAAGTCGGGGAGAAGGCAGGAGTTGGGGGAGATAAACAGACACAGAAATAAAATGAGACAGAAACAGAGAAGGGGAGATAGACACCTAGAGAGAGAACAGAGAGAGACACAAAGAGAGAAGCACAGAGAGGCAGAGGCACATACTGGGCAGAGGTAGACATGCAGAGAAAGGAAAGGACAATTAGAGAGAGAGAGAGAGAATGAGAGAGAGAGAGAAAGAGCGCCAGATGGCAGATGGACACAGAGACAGAGAAAACCATGCTTTGCAAATGGCAGTTGCACCCAGTGAGGGAAAGGGAAGAAAGACCCAAGTGGGACAGACATTTGGATTCTGGGAGGGAGAGGTCCCTACATTTCTTCATTCATTCACTCATTAATTCCCTCCCTCCCTGCCTCACCAGCTCACTGGTGGAGTGGACCCTTTTCCAGACTGAGGGAAGAGCAGGTTGCAGAAAATGTGGAGGAAAGAGAGAAAATGTCAGGCAGCCTGTCAGGCCTAGGAGGGTCTGGGAGACCACCCATCTGATACATGCTTCTCACAGAGCAGGAAACTGAGGTCTCCAGGGGCAGGGGAACATGCGTCCAGCCATCCAGCAAGTTGGTAGCAGAAGAAAAGAAACTCTAAAAGACTTAGATAAATCAGCAAGAGTTGCCAGGGGATCAGCTCATTGTACAGATGATAGCACGTGCAAATCTCCAGTGCATTCTTGAACTACAAAGAGCTCATTATACCTGGAGTCTGAAAGGGGCTGCAGAACTTTGCCCCAGTGTGGCAAATGCGGCAAAGGATTTCATGAAGTTAAGCATCTTTCAGCTGCAAGGTGATGTGGGGAGAGACTGGGCAGGGTTAGCTAGATTGACTGATGCTGTTGGGGGGCAAGCGGCTCTTCATTTTGTCTATACCCCTACTGCCAACTCCAAGCTCCCAGGGAGAGTTCAATGTTAACTGCAAGGGCTCAGGCTGCGGGAAGGATTTTAAAGCTCCTAATGAAAAGGCAACTACATTCAAAGCCTCAGCTGCCTGTGACCAGCCCACTACCCCCTGCCTGTCTCAGTACGAATGAAGGAAACATCCAGTAACTAGTCACAGCTTGAGGCAGGGAATTGCCACAGGGGGGTTATGTTTTCTTTTTTTTCTTTTAAATCAAGTTAAAGTTTTAGTAGGTGTCTCACTCCATTAATGACCAATTAATATTGCCCACACTAGAGTATTAACAAACACAGGAAAAAAATGAATTTTTGGAATGTTTTGGGTCTGGAAGTAAGAATGCTGGGTTCTTTGTCTAGGGCCAGGGGTCTTGGCTCTGGTTTTGCATTGGAATCCCCTGGGAGCTTATAGAAAACACCCATGCCTGGGCCCGCTCCTGACAGTCTGATGGAAATGGTCTGAGATGCCGCCTGTGTGTCAAGACTTTAAAAGCTCCCTGGGCAATGCTAATGTGTAGTCAGAGACCAACCCCCTTTGCCTTTGACTAAGTAAATGACTGTCCTGGCTACATAGCATTTAAAAAATGTCTATTTTACACCACAGGCTCACACATATTATCTCACAAACATTATCTTGTTATATTTTTTGGAAAATCTTTGAGTTCAGTACTGACATTCCTGTATTATAGATTAGGAAATTAAAGCTCAGAGAGGTGAAGAATTTTGCACAAGCTCTCATAGCTGATAAGTATCAGAGTGAACTTTCAGACTGAAAATCAGATCTCTTGACTCCATCTTAAGATTCCATTTCTTCTTCTCTGAAGTTAGGAGGTTGAGTTAGATCAGATGGCGAATACTTGGTGTATAGGCCACCATTCCCCATTCTCTACTTTCAACAGGCGTCACTACTAGATTAAGGCATTTTGTTTCAGAGAGAGAATAGAAGAACCTCAGAATCTTTCTTAACACATCATCCTTAAGCAAAAATTCATTGGAATCAACACTAGATGAAACCAATTTTGATCCCTGAACTAAATAATCCTGAGGGACCCTTCTGTTTGTGACATTCTGGGATTGCATGAGTAGGGTTGCTGCCACAGCCAGGACAGTGAGAATGTGGGCCAGCCATGGCATCCTTTCTGAACTTGCATTCCACAGCCACTGCTTCAGGACAAGCCAAAGGGATTCTGGAATATCCCAATGCTCTTCCCAGCAGCTCCCACAAGGAAGCACAGCATAGGGGTTAAGATCATAGGGACTGCTGACAGCCAGCCCTGGGTTCAAATCCTGATATAAGCATGTAATACCCTCAGCATGGAGCCTCATAAGTAATAGGTGCTTAATAAACAATCACTCAAGCCAAAACTGGAAATTAATAAATATATAAAAAGCTAGGATTCTTAAGCAGCTTCCCCTGCCTGACCCGTTGCCAACTCCAACCATTAGCCTGTCCCTCTTCACCCTTCTTGCTTTTCTCCCCCAGTCTCTGCCTCCCTCCTGTGTCTCACCCTGAGAAAGACATGCCCCCTGGCTCTCCCTGAGCTAGGGTTAGCGGATGACTCTCTATCAGCACCAAGCTGTGCCTGGTTAGTGCCTGGCACCCAGACCAGAGTACCCAGAGCCAACTTTTATTGACGACGTTGAATGCGGCCCAACACAAATTCGTAAGCTTTCTTAAAACATTATTAGATTTTTTTGTTATTTTTATTTTATTTTTAGCTCATCAGCTATCATTAGTGTTAGTGTATTTTATGTGTGGTCCAAGACAATTTTTCTTCTTCCAGCGTGGCCCAGGGAAGACAAAAGATGAGACACCCCTGCTTTGAAACAACCTCATGAGGTACGTACTCTTATCTCTAATTTGTGCATGAGGACACAGGATGAGAGAGGTAGGTACAGTAAATTGCCTAAGGTCACACAGCCAGGAAGTGGTCTTCAGCTGGTTTGCAGACACAAAGACCATGGCCAAGGGCTGCTCCACATGTAGATGCAAAGTCTCCCACAGGAGGAGGCCTTGCTTCCCTGATGTCTCCCACCATGCCCAGGAGAGGGCTTCATGCCCAAGGGGCATTTCATCCATGATTTCTTGTTCCTCAGTAAGAAACCCAGGAATTTCTTACCTGTGTGATAGAGTAATAAAGATGTGGGCTTTGAAACTGGGAAACACTAGAATGCAATCCCCAATCAGCTTGTTGAAAAAAAAAATTGTGTGACTTTGGGCAAGTTATTTCTCCTCTCCAAGCCTCAGTTTTCATTTCTGGGAAAGAACATCATCATCCTACCTCACAGGGTTTCTATGCAGGGTTAAATAAGAATACAGCACCTGGCCACCTACTAGGTGCCAAGAGAACATCTTTGGCAATCTCAACCTACATGAGGTGCCTCACACACAGTTGGTGCTCCACAAATGCATGTTGGGACACCTAACTTAGGAAGTGCATCCAGAACATTCCGGTGCTCAGTAAACATCTGTGAATGGAATGAAAATAGAGCACCCTGCATAGCGAATATTGTCGACTTAAATGTGGAGAGGACACCTGGTGAATAGTAGGTGCTCAATAAATGTCCCCAAAGTGAACTTAGTTCTTGTACCTCTATTACATCAAAGAGTTGCTGGTCAGTAAACATCTGTAATGAGGTACCAGCACACAGTAGGTGTGTAAGAAATGTTTGTTGTAACCTAAATGGAGGAAAGGTACCAGGCATAGGATAAGTACTTGACAAATGTCAATTATTGAATGGATGCTAGTGGAGTATCCAGGACATGACTTAAGAAATGTTTGTGGGGCATAAAGGAAGGTGGGGGGGTACCAAGCATGCAGTGAGTCTCAAAAAGTGTGCCTGGGAGAGCTGAGTGGCACACAGTAGATACTCAAGGAGGAGTATTCCCATACCCTCCAAGTGGGGACCTTCCCAAGCCCAGGGAACCTCTTGCCCTGCCCTCCCTGCCATCTCCTCACCTTTGTTGTAGAGGGAGCCATCGAAGTAGTAGCTGCCAGTGTAGAAGCCTGTGGCCAATTCAATGAGGTGGCGAGCCCACGTGTTGCCAGCACCTGGGAAGCTGGCCAAAGCAATGAGCTGCTTGGACTTGCCTGGCAGGAACCTTCTGTCCATGCAACGGTTGTCTGAAAAGGGCGGAGCATGGACAGAGGTCAACACCAGGGGCAGATGGAGCCTGTCTGAAAGGGCCAGGGTATGAGTCACACCCCTGCCACTTCTCAGCCAGGTGATCAAGGGCACAGGACACTTGCGTGGGTCATGGGAAAGCTTCCTTGGGCCTCAGCTTTCCCATCTGTAAAATGAGGGAGATGGTTCCTCCCTCATAGAGTTGAGGTGAGTGTTAAATGGGATAATGATGGAAAGGGATAAGCACAGTGCTTAGCCCATAGTAGGGATCCAATAGAAGTCAGCTAGGAGGGTGAATCTTCTCTCCAGCCCCAGTTTCCCCCCAGCAGAGCAAGTCTTTCCCATTCACCCCTACCCTTTCCTCCAGATCGAAACCGTCAATGGCATCCGTCGTGTATTTTTTGTTATTCTTGTATTTTGCGGGCTCTGAAAAGCCAGAGAATCAGGAATATCCAAATGGTACTCACCACCTCCCAACCCATTTTACAGATGAGAAAACTGAGGGCTAGAGAAAAATAATATCTATGCCTTTTGAGTATAGGATGCAGTCCAGGGTTCTTATCTTGGCCTCCAAGCCCACATGGTTGGCCTTTGCAAACTCACAGGCTCATTCTAATCCACTCCACCACATGCCAGCCACCTGGTCTCTCTGTACTTCCTCTCCTGTGCTTTGCTGTGTCCTGACATAGTGCCTTCATGCATGCTGTTCCCTCTCCATTGCCTCCTACCTGCCTTTGCTTTTTGTTCTTCAGCTCTCAGTTGAATGGGTCCCACTGTCTATCCGTCTGTCCTTCCTTCCTTCCTTCTTCCTTCCCTCTTTCCTTCCTCCCTTCCTGTCTCTCCTCTTTTCCTGACTCCCTGGGCTATCATTAGTGCATTACTATATCCATCTCCTTCATATTGTTGATCACAATTGCAATTCAGATAATTATGCATGCAATTAGTCGTGTGGTCAGAAACCCTGCCCATATTGTGTTTTGCTGATTCACCAAAAGTTTCCACAATATCTGGTATACAGCAGGTACTTAATAACTGCTTCTTGGACGGATGCATGAATGGGTAGAATGGTGACTGGGTGGATAACAATAATATCTATTTTGTAGGGCTCTTGTAAGGATTGAATGAAACAAAGCATGTAATATGCTAATACTCTAAAGTGCTCAAAAGGCATAGATATTATTTTTCTCTAGCCCTCAGTTTCCTCATCTGTAAAATGGGTTGGGATGTGGTGAGTACCATTTGGATATTTTTGATTCTCTGGCTTTTCAGAGCCTGCAGAATGCCATTACCATCAGAGTTAACAGAAAATGCAAGCCCCAGCACCTCCCACTGCAACCCCAGAGGGAGCTAAGAAAGCACAAGCTTTTCTTTTGGTTCCCTCAGTTGCAAAGGCAGCTGAGGGAAGGCTCAGAGCAGGGGGCGCTGGAGCAGAAAGGAAGATGAGAGAATCCCAGATCCAGGCCTGGAGGCCCCAGGTCTCAGTGCTGCCTTCTTCAGCCTGGGGCAGATGAGCTCCACCCTTATTTATCATCCAAGGGAAGGCAGGCAAACCTCCCTCACCTCCCATGGCCCCTCACCTCCATCTCTCCCTCTTCTGGGGAAGCCACCCATCCCCTGCTCATGTATGTGTTCTCCATTCCCTCCTTCTCCAAGCTCTTTGCTCCTTCCAAACCCCAATATTTTTTCTCTCTCAGCTGGCTCAATCACATTAGCACTCAAACAGGAACAAATAGCTCCCTCGTTTAGAAAGAGCCCCTTCCAGCGACCACCAGCTCCCCTTCACCCCATCACCGCCACATTGCCAGCAGAGTTGTCCACATTCCTTCATGTTTCCTCCCTTCTATCTACTCCTTGGCTCTTGCACTTGGCCTCTTCCCTGGTCACTGCCCTGGACCGGTTATGGGCAAGGTCCTCAGTGACTGCCCCATGCTCAATTCAAGAGACAAGCTCACCTCACGTGATTACTCGGGCATGAGGGCAGAGCGCTGCCCTCCTCTAGGTAATTCCTTCCCAAGATTTTACCAGGGTCTTCCCTGTTCTGCATTAGCTGCTATTTATTGAAGTCTTACTGTGAGCCTCATTAATTTCACACAAAAGCCCTTTGAAGGAGAGGTGTGAAGTCCTAGATTTAAATTCCAATTCTTCCACTTACTTTTTGGGTGACATAGGAAAAAAATGATCTGTCGGAGCCTCAGTTTGCTCACTTATAAAATGGGACTATTAAGCAGCGATGACAGCCTGAGGTTGTTTAGGAGAATGAAATTCTTGAATGAATGCAGTGTTAGATTGAGACAAACATGCCGGAATTGCCCACAGAATCGATTGTGGTTCCTGGTATTGTTCCTGCTAGCTGGAGGTTCAGCTTTCTTCTCCTGCCTGTTTAATTTTTGTTCTGAGATGATCAGATTTAGGATAAAATAAACCAGGGGACATCTGTGTCGAAGCCAAGTAAGCTTCAGGGAATGGTTTTCATTGGAATACACTGCAAAAAGGAGCCCAGACACAGGGACTTTATAGAATATGGTTATGTTTTATATTTTGATAGGGGAGTGGATTAGCCAGTTGATATTAACTAGTACACTTAAAATATGTGCATTCCACTCTATGGAAGTGTTACTTCAGAAAGCTAATATTGAATTATATAACCAATGACAACATCCTGAAGTATAATGATGCTTGCAACTTGCTTGGAAATGCACCAAAAATTAGGAAGGATTGAGGGATGGAGAAAAGGAGAGATGGACAATAAAGTAAATACAGCAAAAGTTAATGTATGTCACAAAATTCTATGGAATGAGTATATATGTGTTCACTGCATAATTCTTCCGACTTTTCTGGAGGTTTGACTTTTTTTTTTTTTTTTTCCAGAGCAAAATGTTGGGTTGATAGGTCGGGTGGGGCAGACCAGGCTCCTTAATGTCCCCCCAAAACAGAATTCTCTATTCAAATATTTCCTGGGAGGCCAAGGCCAACCCGAAGGTAAAAGTTGTGGTTTTCAATGCTATAAAGAAAGTTGATTTGGTTCCTAAGCCCCATACATTAAGCAACTGTTGCAGGCAGTATTATATGCAGTTTTGGAATCAGACCGACCTGGGTTTCCATCCAGAACTGTCATGGCCTACCTGTGTGACATGGAACAAGGCTTTCCCCTCACTAAGCCTCAGTTTCCTCACCTATAAAACAGGGCTAATAAACCTTACACAATTATGTGGGATAATGAGTGTGAATTTTTCACAATGTATTTTGAGAAGCTAGGGTTGACAGTGCAGTCTTGGGACCTAGATTGCCTGGGTTTGCATCCCTACACTGCCATGTCAGAGCTGTTTGACTTTGGCCAAGTTACTCAACCTCCCTGTGCCAAGTTACCTCATTTGTAAAATGGTAATAACAGTGCTTATGCAACTGGACTGTTTGGATGATTAGATGATTTAAGGCAGGTAAAAGATTTGACAGAGCCTGGCACAGAGCAAGTGTTCAATAATTATCCCATAAGGGGCATCAGGGCTTAGCACACAGTAGGTGCTCAATAAATGTCAGTCCTGGTGGGCCAGGCTCTTGGCAGGCTGATGAGCCACATAACTGTCAAACCTCCCCAGTGTGTAGAAACTGCAAGAGTGACGTGGCAAAATGGAAGCCCTAGTAATGGCCTGGGGGTAGGGCACTGGGAATGAGCAAATTCATCAATTAGGGAATTGTTATCTGCGTTGAAAAGGCTCCAGTGTCTGTTCTGGCCACCTCAAAGCCATTCATGATCACAGGGTAATTAATCTGTGTATGACTTTCCCCTGCAGGCTAAGGCAGCACAGCTCTGCACAGACTAACCAGCACTTCCCCGAAAGCTAACAAAAACCCATCCTTCCCCATCGGACTGTAAATAGGTCCAAGAGCCACATGCTCACTAGGCTCTCAGAAGGACTTTAGCTACCATAGAAACAGCCACAGTTGATCACCACTGGTACCCCATCAGTCAAACAGGGACAGGCTATTGGTGGGGCTGCCACTAGCTCATACAGCACTTTTGTGCAAATCAGAAAAAGGTGCCCACTCCTTCCTCTGGACAGATGTTCTGCCATCCAGGGCACACAACATGTGGCTGGCTTTTAGGCACCACTTTTTCTGTTGGCTGTGCCAGTGCAATGCTCAACCTGCTCTACCACATATGGCAGCTTGGTGACTGGGAAATGAGAAGGAGGAGGTCTAGCCAAGTGGTGTTTTCTTGGCTCTCCAGACTGTGGGGAGTGTCACTGGAGCATGGGCAAAGGTTTCTAGCAGGGGCTTTGGAGTCAGACACCTGAAAACAAATTGCTTTTGTAGATGTATAACTGTGGCCAGTTCCCAATCTCTCTGAATTTTAGTTCTGTCATCTGTAAAGTGGGGATGATACTGCCCTGATCATAGGTTTACTGTGGACTTCACATCACTGAATGAGATGAGGCTCGGCATAAGGACTGGTACATAGTAGATGGTCAATATATTCAGATATTGAGGTGATCCTTCAGGGGCTTCCTTTGGGCTGAGTGTCCTAGCAAGGGATGCCCCCCAATCCCCATCCAAGTGCCACCCACCCTTCATGATACCTCGGTCAGGAGAAACGGGTTTTATTGGGAAAGTTTATAAACAGTATGACTTAAGGTAAGTTCCTCAACTGTTCTGAGTCTCAATCCCCTCCCCCGCCCCACAGTAAA
Organism: Homo sapiens; assembly: GCF_000001405.40. NCBI lineage: Eukaryota > Metazoa > Chordata > Mammalia > Primates > Hominidae > Homo > Homo sapiens. The sequence continues at coordinate 108,228,044 of NC_000012.12, read as the reverse complement.
GAGGGCATAATGACTGTTCCCAACTCATAGAGAGTTGAGGGGATTTAATGAAAACATGTATATGAAGGATGCAACACTGAGTCTGGCACAGAGTAAGACCTCAAGAAACTCCAAGTGTTGCTGCCTCCTCCTCTTCCTCCTTCTCATCACCATCATCGTCATCATCACTTTCATCATCACTATCATCAGCACTATCAGCGTCACTCTTATCACTATCATCACCATTATCATCATCACCATCGTCATAATCATCACCATCATTATGATCATCACCATCATCATAATCATCACCATCATCATCATCATCATCATCATCACCATCATTATCATCATGTCTGGTAGCCCCAGGAGACAGAAGAGGAGATAACAGTAAGTGTGGATTCCGCTAGCAAAGGAAGAAGACTAGAAGTGGAAAGGATGAGTGAGACAGGGAGAGAGAAGAAGGAAGAACTTATAGATAAAATGACAAAATCTTAGAATTGGAAGGAACACTGGAGGCCAACAGTCTACAGCTTCATTTTACAGATGGAAAAACTGAGGCCCAGAAAGGGGAAATGACTTGTCCGGGATAACACAGTGAATCTGTGTTGCAGCCAGTGGGAGACTCAGTCTCTCTTCTCATTCAGTCTCACTACAGGAGCCACCAAGGGTCCTCAGTGATGAGGGATAGAGATGGGTCATCAGAACGCTTCCCACCCTGGGAATTCCTTCTGTTGCCCATCCAGGAACTCTAAGCCTGGTGGAGTTCATCAGCCCTGCCCTCTGGCTTGCATGGTTTTCTCCTTGCTGCAGGCTGTGTGGGATGGACTGGCAGGAACACGTCTGGGAGGGAAGCCACTGGGAGTGCATCTGGGGTCCACTGGGGAAGGGCCTAGCTCACCTTGGACTTGTGTCTGGTACACAATGAAGTAACTAGGAGTCCCGCAGCTCTCAAACTCCTCCGCGCTGCACTTCTGGGCACAGAGCTGCTCATCCTCTCTGTCATGGAGCGGGAATCGGGTGGTGGGAAACCCACAGTGGCAGGCGGTGCCTGCAAGAGCTGCCAGCGGGTACTCCTGGGGATGGAGTGGGAGAAGAAGAGGAAGAGAGTTGCTAAATCCCTGGACAGCTTCAGACTCCAAATGGAGAACAGGATTTGCATTTCAACCACTGTCTTCTCTGTCAGTCTCCCTTAACTTGAGGGTCCCCAAATTCCATCCACAAACCCTGCTTTTGTGATTTTGCCCTACCTGTGCACCTACTGTACTATTGTTTACTTATTCGTTTCCTTTAAGTCGATTCACTTTTTGAAACTTAAATTTAAAAGGATACTTTGTATGGCTACCACTAATAGTACTTGTGGACAAGTAGCACTTCCATACATCTCCATACTGTAAATGCACATAATATAGAAACAAAACAAGTGATGAAATTCTACCTAGGCACTCTGGCCAACCAAGACTGTGAGCCTGGGGCTGGCTCCATTTTTCCTGCATAGAGAGTAGTTAAGGGTGAGAGGTGTTGACGCTTAAACACTGAAACGAAGCTTTCTCCTGGAAAGACAACTGAAAAAGAAATCCCTTTCTCGTGGTCATGCAATACACCACAGTAAATGCCCCCTTGATGAGATGGTGATATGAGACCCATGCTTTGGGAAAAGCTGTCTGAGTCTGCTCTTTTAAGCCAAAGGAGATACTGATACCCTGTGTTCCCAGAGTCTTTGTTGGGAGAGCTGCTTCTGATTGCTTTATTTGTTCTATTGAACAGCTAAGTGGGGGCAAGATGGACCTGAGATCTGGCGGGCAAGGGTCTGTCTTTTGCCCAATTTGCTTCTAAACTGGACCCACCACCCCTAGTTCTCCCTGGTAGCCAGTCCAAGACTAATCTGGTAGCAAACCAGGGTCACACTTGTGTGGCTGGATCCACTAGCCAGTGGATCTGTGTGACTCAGAGCCACTGAGTCTGAGAACAGACTCAGACAGCTTTTCCCAAAGCGTGGGTCCCATATCACCATCACACCAAGGGGGCATTTACTGTGGTGTATTGCATGACCGTGAGAAAGGGATTTCTTTTTCAGTTCTCTTTCAGTCCTGCAGGAGAAAGCTTCATCTCAGTGTTAAAGCATTTATACCTCTCTACCCTCAACTACTCTCTAGAATGAATGAAATGCCCAACCATCTTTTTGTGGTGGAGGAGGGATGGTTCTCCTCTGGACACTTGAGTCATTAGCTCATTTTAAGAAAAAGCTGGAGCTACTTGGACATCGCTGAGTGCCAGTTATGTGCCCAGTTCTGTGCTGGGGGTATTGAAGGGGGGCACAAAATATACAAGGCACAGCCCCTACCCTCCGGGAGTTCACAACCTGGCTAGGGAGGAAACATAAACAGTCAGACATCTAGCTCCTTAGGCCGAAGAAAGATCATCCAACCCAAGTGCTATCCAGTGCCAAAGCTCTGAATGACACTGCTGCCTGGCCTCTGCTCACACACCTCCACCAGTGGGGAACTCCCTCTGTCCCAAGGTGGGACTGTCTTTACCTTTACCTGGTAATTTTTTCATGCTTCTAGGCCCAGTTCAAATGTCACCCCTCATGTGGTTTGGCTGTGTTCTCCACCCAAATCTCATCTTGAATTGTAGCTCCCATAATCCCCATGTGTCATGGGAAGGACCTGGTGGGAGGTAACTGAATCATGGGGGTGGGTTTTTCCCATGCTGTTCTCATGATAGTGAATAAGTCTCATGAGATCTGACATCTTTAAAAAGGGCAGTTCCTGTACACACGCTCTCTTGCCTGCTGCCATGTAAGACGTGCCTTTGCTTTTCCTTTGCCTTCCACCATGATTGAGAGGCCTCCTCAGCCATGTGAAACTGTGAGTCCATTAAATCTCTTTTTTTCAAATGAATTACCCAATCTGGGATATTTCTTCATAGCAGTATCAGTATGAAAATGGACTAATAACCCTCATTCCTAAGTATTCGTCAGTATTAAACTCACTTCCTTAAAGGCAGGAAAATCTATTCTGTGTAGCTGCAGCCCCTTAGATCCACGTGAAATGGTCACATCCCTCTCCCACGTCATAGATCCCAGTCAACGACTACATCTATCCCGACTGAGCTGTTGCTTCTCCAGCCAAGCATGTGGTTCCTGCAGCTCTGCTGCATGGTTCCCTCCCCCTGAGTTCCATGGGCCCCACCTTGTGCTCACCTTCTCAGTGCAGAAGTCCACGCATTTGTCCACAGACATGTTCAGCATGGCAGCTGTCACGGGTAAGGCCAGGGAAAGGTTGTCGGGCCTGCGGAAGCAGCCCCGGAACACTGCACTTCCATCTGAAGAGCCAGAGAGAAGAGGACTAGTCAGATATACAAGGAGTCAGATCTGGTTGGGAAAACCACATTCTGAAGAAAGCTCAGAGAAGGCAAGAGTCTTGCCCAAGGTCACAGAGCAAGCCAAAGCAGAGATGGAAAGAGTGGCCATGTTTTCTGTTCTTGAACATGCCTGTTCACAGTCAATGAGCTCGATACATCAAAGAATGTTCTCCTCAACCCTGGCCCCTTTGTCAACAACCCAGGTCGCTGAGATGAGATTCTTTCTGGGCCATGCTATCCCCCTTTCTTTGTCAGATTCCCATGCCTCACTTCCTCATTCCCAACCATGGCAATGCCCCATTCAGGGAAATGATCAAGTACACGGAGGATTTTTGTGATCTCATCAGGGCTGAGTGTTTGAGGACTGAGGGAAGCAAGGATTCTGGGGCTGTCCTGTCCTTACTCACTACTACCAGGGTTCTCCTCTCCCTCTCATTGCCCTGGGCTTTACGGGAAAAGTCCTGGGCCTCAGAAGTCTCTACCTACCCAGTATTGGGCACCGACAAGCTGCAAGGGACTGACATGTCAGAGGCAATCCCTTTAAGAAAATTTAACCCAGAAATCGTGCAGCTACACAATAAAAAATTTGGAGCCCATTGTCAAATCTTCAATAGAAGTCATCCCTTAAGAAAATATTCAGAGATGTTGTCTTAGGTTGGGGCTACTGAAGCAGAGCCTGAGACAAATGTTTCATTGAAGGTGTGCTCTCAGAGAAAGAAAGCGGGAGGCAGGACCAGACAGAACTAAGTGAGGATGTGATCTCAGCTGGGTGCCACCTCCATCCTGGTCTCACGGCAGGGATCAGGAGGGGGCTCTGGATGAGAAATTGCACTACAGAGTTGGCCCCACCTTAAGGAAAGGGGGCTGGCTTGCCTTGGCCTTGTCTATCCTAGCTTCCAATGTCAGTCAGTTTTTGGCTATGGGCTGTCCCCCAGGCTGGGGCGTAACTTCCTGGGAGGGGCTGCTTGCTCCTGTTGGGCCCAAGGCTATTTTTCAGAGAAGGGGGCAGTTGTGAGCCATTGATCACCACCAACAGTCACCACAGGAAAGGGGACTTGGGTGGGTGCCTATAGCATCCAGTACAGATGTGCACAAAGATTTATCAATAGGGATGTTCATTGCAGCATTTTAAAAATTAACAAGTGAAGGAGTAGAAACAACCTAGGTGTCTAGCAATGAGATAATTGTGCCAATAATGTCTGGAATGACAACACACAATGGAATTCTACTGAAAGTGGAATTCCATTGAAAAGAATGGTGTTAAAGGTTATTTTAGCCAGGTGAAGATGTGTTTAAGATACAAAGTTAAATAAAAACTGAGAATGTAAAATTCTACAGGTTATAAAATATCAATTTTGTAAAAAATTAATCTCTAGAGAGACATATACCAACATTTTAATAACTGTGATGTCCCTGGACAGTAGGTGTGAAGGATAAATTTTATGTGTCAACTTAGCTAGGCCATGGTGCCCAGTTGTTTGGTGAAACATTGGTCTAGATGTTGCTATGAAGGTATTTTATGTATGTGATTGACATCTACCGTTAGTTGACCTTAAGTAGAGGAAATGACCCTTGATAATGTGGGTGAGCCTCATGCAATCAGTTGAGGGACTTAAAAGCAAACCTAAGGCTTCCTGGAGAAGAAGGAATTCCATCTCAAGATCGCAGCATTAACTGCTGCCTGAGTTTCCAGTCTGCTGGCCTGCCATATGAATTTCGGACTTGCCAGCTCCCGCAATTGCGTAAGCCAATTTCCTTAAAATAAATCTCTTAATATATCTATCCACATATCCTATTGGTTTTAATCCTGTTGGTTCTGTTTCCCTAGAGAACTCTGACCAATCAAGTAGGAATATAGGTAATTTTTATTTCCATCTCTTTGTAAAACTCTTTTCTAACTTTTTTCTACAATGAATATGTATTTTTATGTAATAAAGACAAAAAAAGTGAAGCCAAGGCAGGAGGATTGCTTGAGGCCAGGCGTTGAAGACCAACCTGGCCAACATAGTGAGACCTCCATCTCTATTAAAAAAAATTTTAAGTGGCCACTGTTAAATCTTTTGAAAGGCTGGTGATATACATTTAAAATTGGGTTGTTTCTCAAATTCTGAGTTGTATATACCCTTCCAGAAGCACAGCCATCCACATATAACAAAGGGCATTGTTAACACAGTGTGATCAAAACCATCAGCACAAGAACAGACCCCATTTATTGAATACCTATTATGTGTCATCTGCTCTGCTGAGCACTTCAGAAACATCAGCTCATCTCACCTTCTTGAAAATCCTGCAAGGTTCATTGTAAACTCTCATTTTACAGATGAGAGAAACAGGGCTTCGAGAGAAGAGGTTGCAAGACAAATCTAAGGACCCATCGTTTGCAAAAACTTATTGAGCCTCATCTCAGAAGCAAAGTGTTAGCCTTTGGAAAAAAGCAAAGCAAGTTGCAGAAACCATATGTCTCTCTCTGTAGCGGTGTCTGGGTCTATCTAGAGTGTAAAAGCGTTTTTTAGCATACACATATATATTTATATTTATGTGCAGAGAAGAGGATATGGAATAACTCCCTGAGTAGAAGGGTGGGGGGAAGGTGTTTATGAATGATAATTTTATATTTTAGCCATCAAAGACTCCCTAGTGATTCTTTCTACCACATGGCGCCTGATAGCCTGAAGTTGCTCATTGCAGTGACAAGCCAAGAAAACTAAGAGGACATTAGGAATTTGGTTAAATGATGAATTTCCAAGGCATCCCCCAGACTCCTGCTGTCTTAGCTTTCTGGGTCTCTGGCTTTATCCTGGTGAGACAGGTGGCAGTGGTAGTGGTGATAGTGTCAGGATGCTGCTGATCTGCTGCGTGGTCCCTCCAGGCCTCAGTTTCCCCACATATAAACGAGGACTGGGAGTTAAACTATGCAGTAACTCTCATGCCTACTACCCTGAGAACATTCAAAGAGGTGTGGGAACGCCTGCTCCAATGATTTGAGGCCACTGGCACTTGAAAGTTTGGGGCCAGAAATGTGCATGCCTGTTCTGTACAGGACAGCCCTTCACCTCCTAAATGAGCACATGCACATCCAGATGCCACTAGTGCCCTGTAAAGAAACACTGGACAGTCTTCCATCTTGTGGCCTGGGTTGCTGAGAGGGATGCCCTGTAAGGTCACCCAGAGGATGGAGTGCAGTGGTGCAATCTTGGCTTCCTGCAACCTGCACCTCCTGGGTTCAAGTGATTTTCCTGCCTCATCCTCCTGAGTACCTGGGATTAAAGATGTGCACCACCACACCCAGCTCAATTTTTGTATTTTTAGTAGAGATGGGGTTTAACCCTGTTGGCCAGGCTGGTCTGGAACTCCTGACCTCAAGTGATCTGCTTGTCTCAGCCTCCCAAAGTGCTGGAATTACAGGCGTGAGTCACCACACCCACCGGGAAAGTGGGCATTTGAGCTAAAGATTTATGGCAATGAGGCGGGAAGTCCCAAGCACTGTGGATGAACCCTCACTTAACCAGAAAACTCAGTCAGCCGGATGCTAACTCAGGTCACCGGGCAACCAGATGCTGGCTTTTCCTCCCTCTTTCCACTCCACTTGAATTTGCTGAGTTCCTGCTGATGCCAGGCTCCATGCTGGGAACTCTGGGTCCATTCAGTCTGCACAGCAGCCATAGGCGATAGATGCTATGAGTACCTCCATCTCACAGATGAGAAAACTGAGGAGGCTGAGGGAGGCTAGCTGGCTTCCAGTGTTACAGAGCTGACAAACAACAGAGTGAGATCGAAGCCAGGTTTCTGTGTCTCCAAAGCCTGTGCTTCTTCCAATAATAATGATACTATTATGAATAGATGCTTATATTAATATAATGTTGGCAGGGTGCAGTGAGTCACACCTGTAAGCCCAACACTTTAGGAGGCCAAAGCAGGAGGATCCCCTGAGCCCAGGAATTTGAGACCAGACTGAGCAACACAGCAAGACCCTATCTCTACAAATATATATATATATTTTTAATTAGCTATGTGTGGTGGCACACAACTGTAGTCCCAGCTACTCAGGAGGCTGATATGGAAGAATTGCTTGAGCCCAGGCAGTCGAGGCTGCAATGAGCCATGATCATGCCCCCGCACTCCAGCCTGGTTGACAGAGTGGGACCTTGTCTTTAAAAAAATCGTAATATTGTTGTGATCATTATTGCTACCATGTACTGGTTGTGTGGTATGTGATGGGAAGTAGGCTGAGCTGTTCACACATGTGGTCTCATTGAACTCTCCCATTCACCCTGGTCCTATGGGGCTTCCCATTTTTACAGATGAGGAAACTCAAGGCTCAGAGGACTGAAACTGCTTGATACAGGTCACCCAGCTTGCAAGAGTTAGTCTGACATCTTTGATATTTATCAAGTGCCAGGCATTGTGTAAACGCTTGATATATCTTATCCAATGGAACCCTCCTAACCCTTAGCAGGAAGATCTCATTCTCTCCATTATAAAGAAGAGAAAACAGGTGCAGAGGGGAAGTGACTTGCCCAAGGCCATACAGCTGACAAGTGGCAGTATCTGGATTCCAACCTAGGAATGTCTGAACTCCAAGTTTGCACTGTCCTGGGCTGTCTCTTTTTAAAAAGCCACCCCTGGCTTTAGCATTTCACAACAGTGGGACATTGATTTTCTCTCTCCCACCCTTCGTGTCCACTCTGCTTTTCACCACAAATCACTCAGAAAGTCAGGGCTGTCACTCTGAGGTTGCCTGACACTGGAGTCTGATTATTCTTTAAGCATCCTCAAATGTCCAGATCTTGACCCTGGGTCTCTAGAACCAACTTCAAATTGTTAACCTGCCACCAGGATCTTATTTGAGGGACCATCATGAAATCCTAGAGCTTGGAGGGTTGCTACAGACAGTATTTTGGGGGTTGGGGCCAACGGAGGCCCCTTTGGGGTTGTCCTGGGTACCCTTGCAGGGATCCCAAGCCCACCAGCTCTTATCCTGTAATGTGGGTCCTTTCTTGAGTCCTGTTCCACTACCCTGGTGGGGTCTGAGGCCCCCAACACAGCAGTGTGTTGGGAAGACACAGTCGTGTCTGAAGAAGTGAGTGGTGTTTGTGCATGTGTGTGTGTTTGTGTGTGTCTGTGCATTAATGGGGGCAGGAGAGGCTGTGTGAGGGCAGTTGTGGGTCTGGCTGCACTGAGATTGTTTGGGCAGTGGGACATGACACTGAATGTGTATCTGTTGCTGTGCACACAGTGTGCATCTGTGTATGAAAGGGTGTGAGTGATGATGTGTGCCTCCTATGTGTATGTGTGACTGTGCTCATGCCAGTGTGAGTGCAGATCCACCTGTCTGGGCATGTGGATGCCGACCTCTGGGAATGCAAATGTGATCCTGTGGACCGTGCTCATCTGCACATAGTGGGTCTGTCTATGGGGGAACATAGGAGTCTATGGCCCTGTGCATTTGACTTTGCACTTCTGTAGATAACTTGTGTGGTTGTGCATCAAATCAACCTCTAGGAGGGCAAGTCTTACCATAAGGTGTTTATGCACGTGGAGACAATAATCCCACGGGCTCTCTCTGGGTTGCCTGGCAACCAGCTGGCTGAGAAGAGGGCTCCTCTTCTAGTAGAGGATGAGGCTGGGCTTCAGCCAGTCCCTCATGAGCCCAGCTCAATGCCACCAGGGGTTTGACATTTCCCAACCATCCCCTCAACAGCTGGCACCTAGGTTCAGATAAAAATACTTATTTCCCCAGTGCAAGGGGAAATGCATCATAAGAAGAGAGAGTAACTTGATGGGTAGGTCCCTCTGATGGAGCCCAGCCCAGGTGGAGTCTTTTCTCAGGATGCCAAGAGCACTGGGGACCCTTGCACCTGGTGCCCACAGCCAGGGACACTGCTGGTGTCTGTCCCGGTTGTTTGCATCACAGTGGACCTCATATACAAGTCATCTCCGTATGGGAGTGTGCATGTCTGACTGTGGGTATGTGAAAGCTGAAGCAAGCCCAGGGTGGTCTTTGGGGTCCTTCACCCTCAGGAGTCACCCTTGCATCCTCTAAGAGCATGGCCCCAAATAATTGAAGGCACTGGGGCATCACTCAGGGCCTGTGGGTGGCACACATGCATCTTCCTCTAGGCTTCCTTGGCCAAGCGCTGTGCCCTCTCCCCTGCCCCCAAGCTGGGCACCCATCTTTTGGGCTCAGTCCACTGATGGGTCACATTAACATGCATCTCCAGATGAGCTTCAGGGGACCCATCCTAGCCCAGAGCCCTAGGAGAGGCCTTCCATTCTGGCACCACACCAGAGAGCCATGGCATTTCCCTGGACTGACAGGCTCAGGATGAGCCATCCTGGCTGAGGAACAGAAGACTTAGCAACTAGGAAACACGAGCTCTAATCCCGACTCTGTTTCTCCTCTCTGGAACTCAGCATCTTCAGCTGTAAAATGGGGAACTCTCCTTCACATGGCACCCACTGGCACCTCTGCCCTTCTTTGTCTTTGACCATGGGCAAGTTTCCTCTCATTTCAGAGTCTTAATGTTCTCATCTCTAAAATGGGGGCATAAATATTGGGTGGATCATTCAGAGATGGACATGGATAAACTTTGTGAGCTGCAGGTACTAGAGAGGGGGCAGTCAAAGGTCCGTCTGCTTGCCAGCTGTCCTTAGACTGAAAAGAGGGGGAGACCCATGTGGAATCCCTAGGCTGGCATTTCTCCATGTGATTTCTTCCAGCCTGCCTAGATATTAGGAGGCCAGAGTAGGAAGAGGAAGGAAGCTCTGCAGAGACTGGCCTCCCTTTGACATTTAAGCACCTGCTAATGAGTCCCTGACTCTCCCAGCTTAGAGAGGAGGGCTAAACTGAATGCTCTGAATACCAAGTAAGGTGAAATTTTTAGAGGACTTAAAGGGCCCGAGATGGATTAGAAGCTACTGCTGTGCACCTCTTTGGGCAAGATGTGTTCTGGGGGTGCAGTGAGGGGGATAAGTTTGGGAAGTCAGTTCCAGGAG